>NC_000001.11:248153818-248305333 GCF_000001405.40 Homo sapiens
AATAAGTAGTGAACCTGTACATAAAACAAAAAGTATGGTAATAGCTAACAAATATTTTTAATATTAATCCATAATACTATACGTTAATGACTATGCATCACAACAATGTATATATTGGGTTGAAGGAAATAAAGAGAGAATATTCATTAATCCTTATCTTTTTTTATTATACTTTAAGTTCTGGGGTACATGTGCACAATGTGTAGGTTTGTTATATAGGTATACATGTGCGATGTTGGTTTGCTGCATCCATCAACTGGTCATTTACATTAGGTATTCCTCCTAATGCTGTCCCTCCCCCGGCCCCCCACCCAATAATCCTTATCTTTTTAACAATTAAGAAAAAAGCATGATCATAGTTATTTAAAATCACTTGGCTAAATTAGAAAATTAAATTTTGTAATATCTGCTTCTAAGCATAATACACTTTTGATTACATAAAGTTAGATTTATTTATATCCATAAATCTATGGTATTATGAGATATAGATAATTTCATTCAGGTCACCATCTGATTTTTTAAAACTCAAATAGTTTCTAAATTATCAAAATTATTTTCTAATCCAGTTGTTTTCTTCTCCTTGGTCTAGTATTAATGAAGTATTTTACTGAAGTTAATTTATAATTTGAAATGTAATAGTTTTTGCAAGTTAATTGAAATTACTGATAAGGAAAAAGAATCTAGACGCTATTTAAATTTATACAGGCCATGCAAAACAGAAACCAGGCTCATGTCTTTGTTCCTGGTGTCTCCTATGTCTAGCAGGGAGCACAATATTCATTCTATAGAGTGGTGTTCTACAATGCCCTATTTGTTTCAAACTCAATGTTACTACTAATTTAACATCTTCTTACATCATTTTGTTTTGCTCATGTTATAAAAGATTATTTATCTCTGTAGGTATGGAATATCCAGTATGTATTTTAAAATTTCTGAAACCACTGAGAACAATAAAAACATATTTAATAGATTATTATTTGTGAAGATAATTACCATCATTCTGGTCACTGTGAAGAGTAAGCTCTCTTTGCTGTTTTTTCCTTCTTCCTCCATATCTCTGTTTCTTTGATGTTCACTAAAAATGGTTAGCATTGCTTGGTACTGAAACATCAGAGTCTGTTTCTAAATCTAGAGGCTGTATCTATTTGTGTTCAGGAAATTTTCTCTTCATATTATGTAAAAACAATACATATCTCCATTTTTCCTGATATCTCCAGCCCCTGCTCTTGTCTCATTGTACCCACCAAACTCCCACTTCCATCAGTCCTGCTGATTATCAATACAACTTTGTTAGTGGACATTCAAGACTATCTGCAACTATTATTGCTTACACCCTAATCATAATAATGTGTAACTTTTTTTCCTTTCATATATATATATATAATTGTATACAGACACATACATACACATACATAATTTAACCATTTAATGAGGCCATTTGTACTTACATCAATGTAATTCTAGAACAAAATACCAGAAGCAAAATGTATAATAGCATAAAACCTCAACATTGGTTCATTTTGAAGAATGTAGATATGGTATTAATTCAACAATAACTCAATTCACACACATATCTTTGTATCAGCCTTATATTGTTTTATGCTTTTTAAACTTGTACTATAGGCTTCTACCTGCAGCCTCCACTACGTGTACCTTATGTGCGCGTGTGTGTACGCACACATACACACACACACACACACAAACGAACTATCTATTTTTTTGGGTACTTAGATGACACTTTAGTTCTGCAATCTTACTGGTATTTCTGGCCATATCATGGTTCCTTGGTTTTGGGATTAGAACAAGTTCCTCTGGCAGTATGGGTCCAATTAGGAGACAGAAAGTACAAGGGGATTTTTAAAAGGAGACATTTATTATACAGAATTACTGTCTATAATAAAGTGTAACTATAATGTATATCATTTTAAAACTCTGTATAATATTTGGAATTTCTTGACCTAGGGCAAGGGAGAGTACCCAAAAAAGACAAAGTTGAAAAACGTACACAGCTCACTGGAGAAAGGATGGTTCAAAGCAGTAAAGTTTGCTGGTTTAGCCAGGGCAGAGCTGGTATAGAGCTGCTGGGAAAAAAACAGGAAACTGTCCAGAGTGCAGTCCAGAGAGCAGGCAAGCAACAAGCAGTGACCTGGGAATATAGCTGAAGTCCAGGTGCCAATGGAGGTAGAAGGACTTCAGAATACAGAGGCTAAATACCATGACAGCAGTGAACTTACAGAAGGAGCTACTGCTCAGCATGTGACTTTCTGGGCCACAGACACTATTGAGCATGTTACACAGGCCTTTGTTTCCATGGCAACAGGACTACAGGAAGGTTATGGCCAGACTGACATAGACAGTGTTCTAGGTATCTTCCTGAGGAAGGATCTACTAGAAATTATGGTACTCAAACCTCTCTGACACCCTGCAGAGATTGTAGAAAGTGTCTTCTCCCAGCGGAGTCCCTCTAGTACTAAATACTGAAAAAGCCTAATGTCATGTTCACTTTAAATGAAAAACACTCAAAGAAATTCCATTGTTCACCACAGAAATTATATTAAAGGATGCACTTGGAGCTGAAGGACAATAGATTGAACATTGACACTCTATTGTTTTGGCCAGTCAGCTTCCATATGCATCTTTCAATACATGTTTTACCTTTTTTGTAACAGCAAAACAATTCTATATTCCTGTATAGCAATATATATCTGTAGCTCTTTCAAGTAAAGAAGTTCTCACTCTTCCCTAGAATAAGAAGACTCACAATCCTAACAATCATTTATACATTGTGGGCTATATTAATTTTTTCCAACTTAGTCATGGTCTCACTGAATACATTATCACCTAAGGACTAAGTTGTAAAATTTACCTCCCATAAGTCTTACATAATTTTTAAGTGAGAAGCTATAGAAAAATAGAATGATTAGTATATGTACAAATAAACACCTGCATGTAACAAGCATAGAGAAAATATGAAATGCCATCACAATCCTCATTTCTATAACTGGATATTAATTTGTAATTAATATTTATCGCTTCTTTCTTCAATCTGTTCCATGTAATACCCTGAGCTTTCTTTTAAATCATACTTTAAGTTCGAGGGTACATGTGCACAACGTGCAGGTTCATTACATATGTATACATGTGCCATGTTGGTGTGCTGCACCCATTAACTCATCATTTACATTAGGTATATCTCCTAATGCTATCCCTTCCCCCTCCCTCCACCCCATGACAGGCCCCGGTGTGTGATGTTCCCCTTCCTGTGTCCAAGTGTTCTCATTGTTCAATTCCCACCTATGAGTGGGAACATGCGGTGTTTGTTTTTCTGTTCTTGCGATAGTTTGCTGAGAATGATGGTTTCCAGCTTCATCCATGTCCCTGCAAAGGACATGAACTCATCCTTTTTATGGCTGCATGGTATTCCATGGTGTATATGTGCCACATTTTCGTAATCCAGTCTATCATTGTTGGACATTTGGGTTGGTTCCAAGTCTTTGCTATTGTGAATAGTGCTGCAATAAACATACGTGTGCATGTGTCTTTATAGCAGCCTGACTTATAGTCCTTTGGGTATATACCCAGTAATGGGATGGCTGGGTCAAATGGTATTTCTAGTTCTAGATCCCTGAGGAATCGCCACACTGTCTTCCACAATGGTTGAACTAATTTACACTTCCACCAACAGTGTAAAAGTGTTCCTATTTCTCCACATCCTCTCCAGCACCTGTTGTTTCCTGACTTTTTAATGATTGCCATTCTAACTGGTGTGAGATGGTATCTCATTGTGGTTTTGATTTGCATTTCTCTGATGGCCAGTGATGATGAGCATTTTTTCATGTGTCTTTTGGCTGCATAAATGTCTTCTTTTGAGAAGTGTCTGTTCATATTCTTTGCCCACTTTTTGATGGGGTTGTTTGTTTTTTTCTTGTAAGTTTGTTTGAGTTCTTTGTAGATTCTGGATATTAGCTCTTTGTCAGATGAATAGATTGCAAAAATTTTCTCCCATTTTGTAGGTTGCCTGTCCACTCTAATGGTAGTTTCTTTTGCTGTGCAGAAGCTCTTTAGTTTAATTAGATCCCATTTGTCAATTTTGGCTTTTGTTGCCATTGCTTTTGGTGTTTTAGACATGAAGTCCTTGCCCATGCCTATGTCCTGAATGGTGTTGCCTAGGTTTTTGACTAGGTTTTCTTCGAGGGTTTTTATGGTTTTAGGTCTAACGTTTAAGTCTTTAATCTATCTTGAATTAATTTTTGTATAAGGTGTTAAGGAAGGGATCCAGTTTCAGCTTTCTACATATGGCTTGCCAGTTTTCCCAGCACCATTTATTAAATAGGGAATCCTTTCCCCATTGCTTGTTTTTGTCAGGTTTGTCAAAGATCAGATGGTTGTAGATGTGTGGTATTATTTCTGAGGGCTCTGTTCTGTTCCATTGGTCTGCATCTCTGTTTTGGTACCAGCACCATGCTGTTTTGGTTACTGTAGCCTTGTAGTATAGTTTGAAGTCAGGTAGCGTGATGCCTCCAGCTTTGTTCTTTTGGCTTACGATTGTCTTGGCAATGCAGGCCCTTTTTTGGTTCCATATGAACTTTAAAGTAGTTTTTTCCAATTCTGTGAAGAAAGTCATTGGTAGCTTGATGGGGATGGCATTGAATCTATAAATTACCTTTGGCAGTATGGCCATTTTCATGATATTGATTCTTCCTATCCATGAGCATGGAATGTTCTTCCATTTGTTTGTGTCCTCTTTTATTTTGTTGAGCAGTGGTTTGCAGTTCTCCTTGAAGAGGTCCTTCACATCCCTTGTAAGTTGGATTCCTAGGTATTTTATTCTCTTTGAAGCAATTTGAATGGGAGTTCACTCATGATTTGGCTCTCTGTTTGTCTGCTATTTGTGTATAGGAATGCTTGTGATTTTTGCACATTGATTTTGTATCCTGAGACTTTGCTGAAGTTGCTTATCAGCTTAAGGAGATTTTGGGCTGAGACTATGGGGTTTTCTAAATATACAATCATGTCATCTGCAAACACATTCTTTACTAGGTAAAGTGACCCAAACCTTTATTTTCAAATGTTATGAGTCATCAGTCATTCTGCATTTTTTTATTTGTGTGATTTTACAGTTATTTATATTGTCAGTCATGAAAATATTAAAAGTTACACTAGCGAATTCCCTGGGCCCGACTTACAGAATTTCTTCCGTTTATTGGATAGCAGCAACCAAAGTTTTGCCTAGGTAAGCAGTATCAATCACCGCATTCCATAAATTGAGCTCTCTTTTTATTTATAGGTTCAGTGTCATAAGGGGCATTAAATGGTTGAATGTCAGTTTCATCTTCTAATTCAGGGCAACTGTAGCTGCATTCACAATGGAATAATTTTCCCCTTATGGAACAAAATCTTTAAACCAACAGAGGTCAAAATGTCTAGGACAGAAAGTACATATTCTGTAAATGGATAATTAAATATAATGATGAGAGAAGCCACACCGTTTCTATTACTTCATTCTCAGATCATGGGTTCTGGCCAGGAAGGAGGCAGAATTCTACAAGCAAAAAGAATACCCTGTAAAGCAGAACCGCATGTGTTCAAGGGGTTTTATCCTGAGTGGTGCTGCAATTAAATTTTTTATAATCAATTCCACCCTTCAACTAGGTAAACTTCTTCTTGGCAATGAGGTATATGGTATGACAAGTTGATTCCAAGACCATAAACCCGTTCTTAAACTTCCTTTGCTGTGAAATAATTCCTTTGATCTAATTCACTTTTCCACTGGATACCATGATAGTGGATTAGACATTCTGTGAATCCACAATAGTGGTGCTGGCAGAGCATTATGATCAACGAAGGCAAATCCACATAAAAAATATGTGCTTATTCCAGTAAGGACAAATGTCTGTTCCATTATGGAATAGGTCTAATGGGGGAAGTCTGGTACCCAGGGTAATAATAGGATGTAGGGAACTCAGTGTTGTTCTGCGCTATCTTCAGATTAAGCACTCAGTAATAGGAGTAACCAGGTGATTTTGATAAGGGAAAGTTTAGAATGTTGATCCCAGGCATAGCTTTCATCCATGCCACTACGGTCATTTTGTTCAAAAACCATTAACCAGGAAAAGAAGCTGACTACTTTTTATAGAGCACATAATTTCATTCAATGGTGGATAAGAGTCTCCTGTGGGACAGATGCCCTTGCATTGTATAAAACACAGGTATCTTCACAATCCATGCCAATTATGGGAGGTTTATCCACATACTTCTTCATCAAAATTCCTTGCCACCAATCTTCTCATTTTCTTCGTCCAACTTCTTGACTGTTAGCAAAACCATTCATCACTGATGTGTACAGCAGTTGTGCTGCAGCCTGATCCTTCAGCAGAGACTTTCCTTGCTCTAGTCTCCACTCAAAACAGCCTTACAGCGACTTTTTACATGAGTCAATGTAAAACACTCAAATGTGGTCCGTGCTGCTTCCAAAATCCAAACATTTTGCCTATTTCTTTGTCCTGGTGGGTAAATCAACTTGTTTTCCATCTTGGAGGGAAGCTCTCATTATGTTTTAAATCACTGTGACCTTCACTGAGATGGTGAGTTCTTTAAACTGACTGGGGCTATTTTCTAGCCTCTTATTTTAATATTCCTTATTAAAGCATTTAAAGTCCTTGCTACTTTCTACTAAACAGAACCAATCAGCCTAAGTTAATCAAAGAGTCAACCAATGTGATGATCTTTCGAATATCAAAAGAATAAATACTTCAGCAAACCATATTATAGCAAAGAGCAGAGAAATTTGTGTATCCCTGAGGTGCTATATTGCTGGCCCTGACAAGTAAAAGCAAATTGCCTTTGGTGGTAGTTATATACTGTTATAGAGAGATTAGAAAACAAGTTAATGGCCACATACCAAGTAGCAGGAGTTGTTATAACTGACTGCAGAAAAGACCAAACATCTGAGACAGCAGCTGTTATTGGATTTCCCATGGGTTAAGTTGATGATAGCCCATACTCATATTCTAATACCCATCTGACTTCTGCACAGGCCACACTGATGAACTAAATGGGATGTGATTGTTATCACTATTTTTTGTTTTTTTAACAAATGTCCTTTTTTTTTTTACAATTACCCCCCCTTTTTTTTTTACAACTGCCCTATATTGAGAGAAAACTTAATATTATTTTTTGTTTTTGTTTTTTTAATTGGCATAGATATTTTTTCTTATAGTTCATTCTGCATTGCACTGTTTTCTTTTTTTTAATTATTATTATACTTTAAGTTTTAGAGTACATATGCACAATGTGCAAGTTAGTTACATATGTATACATGTGCCATGCTGGTGTGCTGCACCCAAAAACTTAATATTATACTCATTTTAAAGGAATTTTTAATGAAATTCCATGTTACAGATATTTTGAAGGGGGCATTCAGAGCTGAAATGAAATACATTGATGAATGATGAAGGTGACTCAGAAAGAAAGATTTGTTCAAAAGTCTGATGTGCTAAGCTTCTGAGTACCCTTCACATTCCATCTATCCCTCCAGACACAGTACACAATCATTCCCATTGGAGAGAAACTTTAAAATGTTATAAAGTTTGACATGTCATAACTGATGCGTTATGACTTTCTCTGTCTATAAAAACAAAGAAATCAGAGCTTCACTAAATAATGCAGTATTCAAATTGAGGGTCAAGAAATCAATTTGACACATGAGGGTGGAACAGCTAAAGGCATAGGAAAAGTAACACTAAACAATTAGAAGCAAAAGAGGTGGAGATATAACATGAAAACTCACACACATAACATAAAATTGCAGGAAAATTTATAAACATTGCCTTGGATAAGATGCACCATTAAAAGACAGAGCTGCAAAAGATAGAATTTTTTTTTTTTTTTTTTTGAGACGCAGTCTCGCCCTGTTGCCCATGCTGGAGTGCACTGGTGAAATCTTGGCTCACTGCAACCTCCACCTTTTGTGTTCAAGCGATTCTCCTATGTGAAACTCCCGAGTAACAGGGACTACAGGTGCACGCCACCACGCCTGGCTAATTTTTGTATATATACGTATATATATATATATATACGTATATATACATATATACGTATATATATATATATATATACACATATATATATGTATATATATATGTATATATATATATATATTTTTTTTATAGTAGAGACGGGATTCCACCATGTTGGCCAGGCTGGTCGAACTCCTGACCTCAGGTGATCCGACTGCCTCAGCCTCCCAACACGTTGGGATTACAGGCGTGAGCCACCACGCCCATCCAAAAGATTGATTTTTAAGATGATTTACATATGCTTAAGAAAAGCTGCATAAAATTACAGAGAAATATTTTTGTTGGGCAAATTTTAAAAAGCAATTCAGACCTGCTAATTCAATATAACATGAAATAAAATGCAATGTAAAATGAAATAAAATTATCAATGAAAGATATTTCATAATGAAAAATTAGTAACAAAAAAGATACAACTATAAACTTGTAAGAACTAAGAAGTTTATTTTCAACAAAAAACCCAAAAATAGAAATGCAAGGAAATATTGATACTTCCACATTATTTTTTTAACTTTTATTTTAGTTCAGGGCACATGTGCGGGTTTGTTATATAGGTACATTTTGTGTTATGGGAGTTTGATGTAGAGATTTCATCAACCAGGTAATAAACAACGTAACTGATAGGAAGTTCTCGCTCATAAGTGGGAGGTGAACAATGAGACCACATGGACACAGGGAGGGGAACATCACACACTGGGGCCTTTCAGGCTATAGGTGGCCAGGGGAGGGATAACATTAGGAGAAATACCTAATGTAGATGGTATGCTTGTTGATGGGTGCAGCAAACCACCACGGCACGTGTATAGCTATGTAATAAATCTGCACGTTCTGCACATGTATCCCAGAACTTAAAGTACAACTGAAAAAAATAAAAAAAGAGGAATAACAAAGAAAGGCAACACATCATCTGACTTTGATTATTTTGCTATGTAAGAATTATTATTGGGATATTGGCAAAATTTTAATAGGGTCTGTAGACTAGATGGTAGTAATGTACCGATGGTAACTTCATGGTTTGGGTGGTTTTATTCGTTTCTTATGTTGGAGAAAGGTCTCTATTTGTAGCAAAGCCTCTAAGGTATTATTAACAAGTGATGGTTCAAATCTCAAATGGTTCAGAGAAGAAAAGTTTTGTGTTGTTATTGCAACTTTTGAACAACTTTGAGAATGTTTCCAAACAAGCCTTAAAACTACATATTTGAAAAAAGAGCTCATTTGCTATAAAATTAAAATTACACTTTCCATATTACAGAGATGCAGTTTATATTTTCTCCAATAGAAATTGTAAAATCGAAGACTACCAGTTGATCTGGCTTTGAAATTTCAGTAAGATGCAAAAAAATGTACTGCTAAAGATAATAAAACTATCAATTAAATTTAGTAAAGTTGCTAGATGCAAATCAATGTAATAACTACTATTTTGTTTTTATGTCAACAAATAAATAAAATAAAATTACAAAGTTACAACTACTTACGACAATGTCACAAAACATTATATACCCAAAAGATGTGCCAAGTCCCTGTTTTAGGTCCTTAAGACATAACAGAAAACAACAGAGAAAACACCAACAATTACTTTTATGTAGTTGACATCCAGAGTCAGTTTTGCTAGACGGTCAAATTAAGCAAATCAAGACACAGGACAAGAGTTACATTTGAATATCAGATAAATAACAAAGAATTTATTAGTATAAGTTTGCTAAAAAATACTGCATGGAACAGAATAATATTTCATTGTTTATCTGAAATTCAAATTTAATTGGGTACTACTTATTTTGTGGTAACAATATTCAGGTGGTAGACCAAACAATTCAAAAGTGTATCAATAGTTACTTTTGGCTAAGCATAAAGAGCATTAGAAATTTAAATATCTTCCTGCTGACAATATAAATTATTACAGTCTGCGAGAAGTGTGGAAATTTTGTAAAATTCATACATGAAAACTCTTTTTCACCATAATTCCACTTCTCATTTATTTTCTGGATAGACTTGAGCATATATCTGAAGGAAAATATGAACCCAAGAAATAGCATTGCTTTTAATTTTCCAACAAGAGAAGAAATAGAAGGCTGTAATTTATTAAAACTGAAAAAAGCACAGCTACATGTGGCTACATGTTTCAACATGGAAGAAGTCCACTGAGATTTCTGAAAGAAAGAGCATAGCTTACAAAATCGTACTTTTTACTAATAAATGCAGACATTAAAGACATAAAGAGCCCCGTGTCGTGCTGCCCCTCCTGACTAGGCCTCCGGGCCCGCCTTGGCCTCTGTCCCTTAAGTGGACGCAATTGCGGCGGCTCCAGTCCTCAGGGGACTCCAGTCCTCAGGGGGCTCCAGTCCTCAGGGGGGTGCTCCAGTCCTCAGGGGGGCGTTCCAGTCCTCAGGTGGCTCCAGTCCTCAGGGTGCTCCAGTCCTCAGGGGGCTCGAGTCCTCAGGCGGCTCCAGTACTCAGGGGGCTCCAGTCCTCAGGGGGCTCCAGTCCTCAGGGCGGCTCCAGTCCTCAGGGGGCTCCAGTCCTCAGTGTGCTCCAGTCTTCAGGCAGCTCCAGTCCTCAGGGGGCTCCAGTCCTCGGGGGGCTCCAATCCTCGGGGGGCTCCAGTCCTCAGGGCTGCTCCAGTCCTCAGGGGGCTCCAGTCTTCAGGCGGCTCCAGTCCTCAGGGTGCTCCAGTCCTCAGGGGGCTCCAGTCCTCAGGGGGCTCCATTCCTCAGGGGGCTCCAGTCTTCAGGCGGCTCCAGTCCTCAGGGTGCTCCAGTCCTCAGGGGGCTCCAGTCTTCAGGCGGCTCCAGTCCTCAGGCGGCTCCAGTCCTCAGGGGGCTCCAGTCCTCAGGGGGCTCCATTCCTCAGGGGGCTCCAGTCTTCAGGTGGCTCCAGTCCTCAGGGTGCTCCAGTCCTCAGGGGGCTCCAGTCCTCAGGGCGGCTCCATTCCTCAGGGGGTTCCAGTCTTCAGGCGGCTCCAGTCCTCAGGGTGCTCCAGTCCTCAGGGGGCTCCAGTCCTCAGGGCGGCTCCAGTCCTCAGGGGGCTCCAGTCCTCAGGGGGCTCCAGTCCTCAGGGTGGCTCCAGTCCTCAGGGGGCTCCAGTCCTCAGGCGGCTCCAGTCCTCAGGGGGCTCCAGTCTTCAGGCGGCTCCAGTCCTCAGGGGGCTCCATTCCTCAGGGGGCTCCAGTCCTCAGGGGGCTTCAGTCCTCAGGCGGCTCCAGTCCTCAGGCGGCTCCAGTCCTCAGGGGGGCTCCAGTCTTCAAGGGTATCCAGTCCTCAGGGGGGCTCCAGTCTTCAGGCGGCTCCAGTCCTCAGGGGGCTCCAGTCCTCAGGGTGCTCCAGTCCTCAGGGGTATCCAGTCCTCAGGGGGGCTCCAGTCCTCATGGGGCTTCAGTTCTTAGGCGGCTCCAGTCCTCAGGGGGCTCCAGTCCTCAGGGGGCTCCAGTCCTCAGGCGGCTCCAGTCCTCAGGGGGCTCCAGTCCTCAGGAGGGCGCTCCAGCACCCGTGACTCGCCAGGCTCCGTCTGAGACCCGTGCTAGGCTCGCTCTGTCCCTGCGTTCCCTCGCCTCTCTCTCCAGTTGTTTTTCCCATTCTCACACCAGCACTGCACCAAGGTGAGAGGAGCCCCGCTGGAAAGGAAACATTCGGACTCCGGTTTCAGCACCTCCTCCAGAAGCACAGGATGTGCGACCTTCAGCCTTTGTGCCCACCTCCGAGCCACCAGCTCCGCAGAAGTAGCTGGGAATGGAACTGTACTCCTCCAGAGACGTCTCCTCCAGGCTCACCACGGAGCAAATTCTGTGCAGCATAAGAGAATAAACGCATGCGGAAGAGAAGGCGTTTCAGAAGCCAGTTTCCAAACGACAGATCCATTGTACTTCTCTGATGCACGTCACAAGCATTTCTCCTCAAAGGACTTCATCTATAACATCCTCACCATTAAATAAAGACAGGGCTTGTGTACTCTAGGGCAGGATGAGTAGGTCTGTGAACGTTTTCTGAAAAAATGTGATGAGAAAATTCGAGAAGAGCATGAAGAAATCGAACACAAAACTGGCAGAACAGGATGATGCATTTGTGAAGTTCACGCTTGGTGAAATAATGTGACGCTCTGGCGCTGGCTAATACGTTTCATGACTCACACATTCTGCATTTGCCGCTGCCTTATTCCTTGCTGACTTATTGCAAAGGGTCCCAATTTTGACATGACACAATGCCAGGATCCCTCGGTAAATACAGGTTTCCGCACGCTCTTGTCAATGGCACCCACTCTTAGGCCCTAGCAACTGGTTTTGGAAATTTCCCCGATGTCAGCACCACTTGAATGTAGACTTTGCTACCTGTATTCATACAGTTTGGCTCCTTATTTTAATATGTTTGAAAAGAATTAAAGGGGGTATTCTAGAACATGTCCTTCACTAGTTGTGTAATAAAACTAGAATGACAATGCAGAGGAAGTTAGCGTGATTTTAATCGTATGCTACAACCAAGCTGTAACCAGTTATTAATAATTTAGAATGTAATCCCAGGACAAACCGAAGCAAATAGCCTACAGTGCTTCTTCAGAAATAGTGAAGGAAGAAGCCATTTCTGTATTCCAGGAGTTCTTGGGCATTCAGAATGGGTTTATGATTTTTTAATAGTTTTATTTATCAGTCTTTTTTTTTTTTCATTTAGTAAGTTTCTTTTTTTTTTTTTTAATTATACTTTAAGTTTTAGGGTACATGTACACATTGTGCAGGTTACTTACATATGTATACATGTGCCATGCTGGTGCGCTGCACCCACTAACTCGTCATCTAGCATTAGGTATATCTCCCAATGCTACCCCTCCCCCTCCCCCCACCCCACCACAGTCCCCAGAGTGTGATATTCCCCTTCCTGTGACCATGTGATCTCATTGTTCAATTCCCACCTATGAGTGAGAATATGCGGTGTTTGGTTTTTTGTTCTTGCGATAGTTTACTGAGAATGATGGTTTCCAATTTCATCCATGTCCCTACAAAGGACATGAACTCATCATTTTTTATGGTTGCATAGTATTCCATGGTGTATATATGCCACATTTTCTTAATCCAGTCTATCATTGTTGGACATTTGGGTTGGTTCCAAGTCTTTGCTATTGTGAATAATGCCGCAATAAACATACGTGTGCATGTGTCTTTATAGCAGCATGATTTATAGTCATTTGGGTATATACCCAGTAATGGGATGGCTGGGTCAAATGGTATTTCTAGTTCTAGATCCCTGAGGAATGGCCACACTGACTTCCACAATGGTTGAACTAGTTTACAGTCCCACCAACAGTGTAAAAGTGTTCCTATTTCTCCACATCCTCTCCAGCACCTGTTGTTTCCTGACTTTTTAATGATTGCCATTCTAACTGGTGTGAGATGGTATCTCATAGTGGTTTTGATTTGCATTTCTCTGATGGCCAGTGATGATGAGCATTTTTTCATGTATTTTTTGGCTGCATAAATGTCTTCTTTTGAGAAGTGTCTGTTCATGTCCTTTGCCCACTTTTTGATGGGGTTGTTTGTTTTTTTCTTGTAAATTTGTTTGAGTTCATTGTAGATTCTGGATATTAGCCCTTTGTCAGATGAGTAGGTTGCGAAAATTTTCTCCCATGTTGTAGGTTGCCTGTTCACTCTGATGGTAGTTTCTTTTGCTGTGCAGAAGCTCTTTAGTTTAATTAGATCCCATTTGTCAATTTTGGCTTCTGTTGCCATTGCTTTTGGTGTTTTGGACATGAAGTCCTTGCCCACGCCTATGTCCTGAATGGTAATGCCTAGGTTTTCTTCTAGGGTTTTTATGGTTTTAGGTCTAACGTTTAAATCTTTAATCCATCTTGAATTGATTTTTGTATAAGGTGTAAGGAAGGGATCCAGTTTCAGCTTTCTACATATGGCTTGCCAGTTTTCCCAGCACCATTTATTAAATAGGGAATCCTTTCCCCATTGCTTGTTTTTCTCAGGTTTGTCAAAGATCAGATAGTTGTAGATATGCGGCGTTATTTCTGAGGGCTCTGTTCTGTTCCATTGATCTATATCTATGTTTTGGTACCAGTACCATGCTGTTTTGGTTACTGTAGCCTTGTAGTATAGTTTGAAGTCAGGTAGTGTGATGCCTCCAGCTTTGTTCTTTTGGCTTAGGATGGACTTGGCGATGCAGGCTCTTTTTTGGTTCCATATGAACTTTAAAGTAGTTTTTTCCAATTCTGTGAAGAAAGTCATTGGTAGCTTGATGGGGATGGCATTGAATCTGTAAATTACCTTGGGCAGTATGGCCATTTTCACGATATTGATTCTTCCTACCCATGAGCATGGAATGTTCTTCCATTTGTTTGTATCCTCTTTTATTTCCTTGAGCAGTGGTTTGTAGTTCTCCTTGAAGAGGTCCTTCACGTCCCTTGTAAGTTGGATTCCTAGGTATTTTATTCTCTTTGAAGCAATTGTGAATGGGAGTTCACTCATGATTTGGCTCTCTGTTTGTCTGTTGTTGGTGTATAAGAATGCTTGTGATTTTTGTACATTGATTTTGTATCCTGAGACTTTGCTGAAGTTGCTTATCAGCTTAAGGAGATTTTGGGCTGAGACGATGGGGTTTTCTAGATAAACAGTCATGTCGTCTGCAAACAGGGACAATTTGACTTCCTCTTTTCCTAATTGAATACCCTTTATTTCCTTCTCCTGCCTGATTGCCCTGGCCTGAACTTCCAACACTACGTTGAATAGGAGTGGTGAGAGAGGGCATCCCTGTCTTGTGCCAGTTTTCAAAGGGAATGCTTCCAGTTTTTGCCCATTCAGTATGATATTGGCTGTGGGTTTGTCATAGATAGCTCTTATTATTTTGAAATACGTCCCATCAATACCTAATTTATTGAGAGTTTTTAGCATGAAGGGTTGTTGAATTTTGTCAAAGGCTTTTTATGCATCTATTGAGATAATCATGTGGTTTTTGTCTTTGGCTCTGTTTATATGCTGGATTACATTTATTGATTTGCGTATATTGAACCAGCCTTGCATCCCAGGGATGAAGCCCACTTGATCATGGTGGATAAGCTTTTTGATGTGCTGCTGGATTCGGTTTGCCAGTATTTTATTGAGGATTTTTGCATCAATGTTCATCAAGGATATTGGTCTAAAATTCTCTTTTTTGGTTGTGTCTCTGCCTGGCTTTGGTATCAGAATGATGCTGGCCTCATAAGATGAGTTAGGGAGGATTCCCTCTTTTTCTATTGATTGGAATAGTTTCAGAAGGAATGGTACCAGTTCCTCCTTGTACCTCTGGTAGAATTCGGCTGTGAATCCTTCTGGTCCTGGACTCTTTTTGGTTGGTAAGCTATTGATTATTGCCACAATTTCAGAGCCTGTTATTGGTCTATTCAGAGATTCAACTTCTTCCTGGTTTAGTCTTGGGAGAGTGTATGTGTCAAGGAATGTATCCATTTCTTCTAGATTTTCTAGTTTATTTGCGTAGAGGTGTTTGTAGTATTCTCTGATGGTAGTTTGTATTTCTGTGGGATCGGTGGTGATATTCCCTTTATCATTTTTTATTGTGTCTATTTGATTCTCCTCTCTTTTTTTCTTTATTAGTCTTGCTAGCGGTCTATCAATTTTGTTGATCCTTTCAAAAAACCAGCTCCTGGATTCGTTAATTTTTTGAAGGGTTTTTTGTGTCTCTATTTCCTTCAGTTCTGCTCTGATTTTAGTTATTTCTTGCCTTCTGCTAGCTTTTGAATGTGTTTGCTCTTGCTTTTCTAGTTCTTTTAATTGTGATGTTAGGGTGTCAATTTTGGATCTTTCCTGCTTTCTCTTGTGGGCATTTAGTGCTATAAATTTCCCTCTACACACTGCTTTGAATGCGTCCCAGAGATTCTGGTATGTTGTGTCTTTGTTCTCGTTGGTTTCAAAGAACATCTTTATTTCTGCCTTCATTTCGTTATGTACCCAGTAGTCATTCAGGAGCAGGTTGTTCAGTTTCCATGTAGTTGAGTGGCTTTGAGTGAGATTCTTAATCCTGAGTTCTAGTTTGATTGCACTGTGGTCTGAGAGATAGTTTGTTATAATTTCTGTTCTTTTACATTTGCTGAGGAGAGCTTTACTTCCAAGTATGTGGTCAATTTTGGAATAGGTGTGGTGTGGTGCTGAAAAAAATGTATATTCTGTTGATTTGGGGTGGAGAGTTCTGTAGATGTCTATTAGGTCCGCTTGGTGCAGAGCTGAGTTCAATTCCTGGGTATCCTTGTTGACTTTCTGTCTCGTTGATCTGTCTAATGTTGACAGTGGGGTGTTAAAGTCTCCCATTATTAATGTGTGGGAGTCTAAGTCTCTTTGTAGGTCACTCAGGACTTGCTTTATGAATCTGGGTGCTCCTGTATTCGGTGCATATATATTTAGGATAGTTAGCTCCTCTTGTTGAATTGATCCCTTTACCATTATGTAATGGCCTTCTTTGTCTCTTTTGATCTTTGTTGGTTTAAAGTCTGTTTTATCAGAGACTAGGATTGCAACCCCTGCCTTTTTTTGTTTTCCATTTGCTTGGTAGATCTTCCTCCATCCTTTTATTTTGAGCCTATGTGTGTCTCTGCATGTGAGATGGGTTTCCTGAATACAGCACACTGATGGGTCTTGACTCTTTATCCAACTTGCCAGTCTGTGTCTTTTAATTGGAGAATTTAGTCCATTTACATTTAAAGTTAATATTGTTATGTGTGAATTTGATCCTGTCATTATGATGTTAGCTGGTGATTTTGCTCGTTAGTTGATGCAGTTTCTTCCTAGTCTCAATGGTCTTTACATTTTGGCATGATTTTGCAGCGGCTGGTACCGGTTGTTCCTTTCCATGTTTAGCGCTTCCTTCAGGAGCTCTTTTAGGGCAGGCCTGGTGGTGACAAAATCTCTCAGCATTTGCTTGTCTGTAAAGTATTTTATTTCTCCTTCACTTATGAAGCTTAGTTTGGCTGGATATGAAATTCTGGGTTGAAAATTCTTTTCTTTAAGAATGTTGAATATTGACCCCCACTCTCTTCTGGCTTGTAGGGTTTCTGCCGAGAGATCCGCTGTTAATCTGATGGGCTTCCCTTTGAGGGTAACCCGACCTTTCTCTCTGGCTGCCCTTAACATTTTTTCCTTCATTTCGACTTTGGTGAATCTGACAATTATGTGTCTTGGAGTTGGTCTTCTCAAGGATTATCTTTGTGGCGTTCTCTGTATTTCCTGAATCTGAACGTTGGCCTGCCTTGCTAGATTGGGGAAGTTCTCCTGGATAATATACTGCAGAGTGTTTTCCAACTTGGTTCCATTCTCCACATCACTTTCAGGTACACCAATCAGACGTTGATTTGGTCTTTTCACATAGTCCCATATTTCTTGGAGGCTTTGCTCATTTCTTTTTATTCTTTTTTCTCTAAACTTCCCTTCTCGCTTCATTTCATTCATTTCATCTTCCATTGCTGATACCCTTTCTTCCAGTTGATTGCATCGGCTCCTGAGGCTTCTGCATTCTTAACGTAGTTCTCGAGCCTTGGTTTTCAGCTCCATCAGCTCCTTTAAGCACTTCTCTGTATTGGTTATTCTAGTTATACATTCTTCTAAATTTTTTTCAAAGTTTTCAACTTCTTTGCCTTTGGTTTGAATGTCCTCCCGTAGCTCAGAGTAATTTGATCGTCTGAAACCTTCTTCTCTCAGCTCGTCAAAGTCATTCTCCATCCAGGTTTGTTCCGTTGCTGGTGAGGAACTGCGTTCCTTTGGAGGAGGAGAAGCTCTCTGCTTTTTAGAGTTTCCAGTTTTTCTGTTCTGTTTTTTCCCCATCTTTGTGGTTTTATCTACTTTTGGTCTTTGATGATGGTGATGTACAGATGGGTTTTCGGTGTGGATGTCCTTTCTGTTTGTTAGTTTTCCTTCTAACAGACAGGACCCTCAGCTGCAGGTCTGTTGGAATACCCTGCCGTGTGAGGTGTCAGTGTGCCCCTGCTGGGGGGTGCCTCCCAGTTAGGCTGCTCAGGGGTCAGGGGTCAGGGACCCACTTGAGGAGGCAGTCTGCCCTTTCTCAGATCTCCAGCTGCGTGCTGGGAGAACCACTGCTCTCTTCAAAGCTGTCAGACAGGGACATTTAAGTCTGCAGAGGTTACTGCTGTCTTTTTGTTTGTCTGTGCCCTGCCCCCAGAGGTGGAGCCTACAGAGGCAGGCAGGCCTCCTTGAGCTGTGGTGGGCTCCACCCAGTTCGAGCTTCCCGGCTGCTTTGTTTACCTAAGCAAGCCTGGGCAATGGCGGGCGCCCCTCCCCCAGCCTCGCTGCTGCCTTGCAGTTTGATCTCAGACTGCTGTGCTAGCAATCAGCGAGATTCCGTGGGCGTAGGACCCTCTGAGCCAGGTGTGGGATATAGTCTCGTGGTGCGCCGTTTTTTAAGCCGGTCTGAAAAGCGCAGTATTCGGGTGGGAGTGACCCGATTTTCCAGGTGTGTCCGTCACCCCTTTCTTTGACTCGGAAAGGGAACTCCTGACCCCTTGCGCTTCCCAGGTGAGGCAATGCCTCGCCCTGCTTTGGTTCGCGCACGGTGCGCTCACCCACTGTCCTGCGCCCACTGTCTGGCACTCCCTAGTGAGATGAACCCGGTACCTCAGATGGAAATGCAGAAATCACCTGTCTTCTGCGTTGCTCACGCTGGGGGCTGTAGACCGGAGCTGTTCCTATTTGGCCATCTTGGCTCCTCCCCCCTTTATCAGTCTTTTAAACAAATGTTTGTTGCTGTATTTTTTCCAGCATATTATTGTTTTACCTCTTTTGTACTACTGGAATTTAATTGAAAGAATAAAACATTTGCTTCAAAAAATAAAAAAAGAAGTGAGACTATTTAACAAAAAATACAGGCTTTTGTTATCTCTGGAGGCATAGAAAAAAGGACATACATTCAGGGTATGTGCACACAGACTTCTATTAATCTCTAATGTTTTATTTACTATTTTATTTTTTTCACATATTTTATATTTTATTTTTGAAATGGAGTCTTGCTCTGTCACCTAGGCTAGGGTGCAGTGGTGTGATCTCAGTTCACTGCAACCTCCACCTTCCTAGTTCAAGCAATTCTCCTCCTTTAGCCTCCCAAGTAGCTGGGATTAAAGGACTGTGCCACCATGCCCTACTAATTTTTGTATTTTCAGTTGAGATGGGGTTTCACCATATTGGCCAGGCTGGTCTCGAACTCCTGGCCTCAAGTGATCTGCCCGCCTTGGTCTCCCAAAGTGCTGGGATTGCAGGTGTGAGCCACCGTGTGCGGACTGTAATATTTTATTTTAAGTTGGGGATGGGTACATTGGTGTTTAATTTGTTTTATACGTTATCTTCCACTGAAATATTTCTGAAGATACAAAATAACTATCATTGTAATTCAGGCTATGAACAATTTAAGGAAAACAATACAATTAACTCAGTAAAAGCAGGGCATCATTTAATACAATTCAGTGAACATTCGTTGAACAAAGCATTGGTAAAAGAAATAAAACGAGATTTTGCTAACGTGGTGAATATATCTACCAAACCTCAGACTAACACTATGAGTAATGGTGAACTATATTGCTAAAGACTTCAGGTACTCAAGAATATTGTTCTTCAACATTTTAAGTATATATGTATATATTAATCAAATGATGTAAGAAAAAATAGATAAAATTGGAAAGAGATATAGGCTTGTTTCATCTATTGTATATAATATTTTTCCCTGCAATAAGGAATACAAAAATAAAAGTTAGCATTCTTAGATTCAAGGTCTACAAGCAACAATTAATAGATTTCTAAATGTTAACAAACGAAATAGAAGAAGTAATACAGGCTGGGTTTGGTGGCTCAGGCCTGTAATCCCAGCACTTTGCGAGGCCGAGGTGGGCGGATTGCCTGAGCTCAGGAGTTCAAGACCAGCCTGGGCAACATGGTGAAACCCCATCTCTACTAAAATACAAAAAATTAGCCAGGCGTGGTCACGTGTGCCTGTAGTCCCAACTACTCGGGAGACTGAGGCAGGAGAATTGCTTGAACCCCGGAGGCGGAGGTTGCAGTGAGCCCGGATCATGCCACTGCACTCCAGCCTGGGTGATAGAGCTAGACTCCGTCTCAAAAAAAAAAAAAAAAAAAAAAGTAATAGAAACAATATTCCACACACTAGAGCAAGAAAATATAAAATACCCATGAACATTTGTATTTTATAATAATATCCTTTGCAGAAAATATATTCCGTAGTTTTAAGGGATAGAAAACATATTAAAGAACAAATAAATAGAATCTCTATTGATGTTCTCTACAGAATTATATAGAGAACATCAAGATGTTAAAAATGCCAATTCCACCCAAGCATATCTTGCTTTTATGATCGAGCAGAAGGAAGAGTGAAGACGACTGCCATTCTCTAGCTCTGCAACATCAGGCAATTTACTTAAGCTTCTGCACTTAGTTTCTTCATGTAAAAAAAATAAGAGATTATAAAATTAAAGATAATATATAATAATATCTACATGTGTCTAATAAGGGTATCTGACATACACAATGGTTGTAGGTGTTAGGTGAGTTTACAAATTTTTTTTAAACCACAGTGCCAGTTACACAGAAAGCACTGGTGTTTTTTTCCTCATCATGTGAGAGACAGCGAGAAGTTTCAGAAAGTTCACACTCATCTACAAGGAAGGAGGCATAATTATCTTATTATGTAGTATTTTCAAGAAAAGAAAAGTAGTATTTTCAAGAAAAGAGGCTAATTCTGCTTCATGTCCTAGGAGAGGAGATAGAAGGTAATACAAACTTTGATAATTAAAGACAAGGGAATGGATTCCCCACAGGTAAAAATTTAAGTTTCTATCTTTTTATTCATCTGTCAATAGCAATAAAGATTCCAACTGTGCTTTCTCTGATGATGGAAATATAAAAACATGTAAGATACTTATAGATTTTTGCCTTTCCAGGAACCTAAAATCACATTGAAAATACACACTATTCAGATCAGTACTAAGAGGTAAGTTAACTAAGCCCAAGCAAGACTGTGTGGAAGCTAGCATCAAAATTTCTGCCGAACATGGTGATGATTGATTTCATTTCTTAAGTCATTTTTTGTGCTATGAATTTTATAAACATTATTCTACTTTATCTGTACAATATTACTTTGAGAAATGTGGTATCGCTTTAGGCAGAAGGAGTGGTTACCTGCCCCCGCTTACCAATGTGAAAGATTGGATAAAATCCATTATTTTTGTTTTTTATATCCTGGAATCCCAGATGTGAGAAATAAATTGATAGTGAATAGGTGTCAGAAGAGAAAAGAGCAGATGAGAACAGGATATAACCAAATGATTTGAACATTTTTACCACATTCTCTTTTGTTTCAATAATTGTAGCTCATGCAGGATGAGAATCCCTAAACCAAAAATCTAATATCCAAAATACTCCAAAACCTGAATCTTTTGACTGCTGACATAAGATTGTGACACTTTTGCTTTCTAATGTTTCAATGTACACAAACTTTCTCCCATATACAAAATTATTTTAAAATACTGCATAAAATTACCTTCAGGCTATGTGTATATGGTATACAATGAATATAAATGAATGTTGTCTCCACACTTGGGTTCCATTCCCAGGATATATCATTATCTACATGCAGATATTCCAAAGTCTGAAAAAAGCCTGAAATCTGCAATACATCTGGTCCCAAGCATTTCGGATAAGGAATCCTCAACCAGTTTAATGATTGCTTTACATTTGTCATGTGCTCTTCTAAAGCATTTACACATATTATTTAAATATTTTATTAAACTTCAAGTGTATAAAAATGTTTACAACAAATATGTTACGTCTATATTTTGTAAAATGTTTTAAAATATTTACCAGTGCTTTTGAAAAACAATTTAACTCTCTCTGATCATGTGACCTTTCAGGTCCATTTTGTAGTAATCATTATACCAGTATTGCTGTGCTTTATATATAATTTTTACATGTATGTTTAGGTTTCTCATAATAGGACTCATGAGGGTGTTCCCTGTGATCTACTTTGTTCATTCAGCATTCTATTGGTGAGACTCACCAATGCTACTTCTTGTAGTTATGGTTATAAATTCCATTGTCAGTGCACATGCAGGTTGCCTTTTTATATTACAAGTAATGTTGCTATGCTCATTTTTGCAAATATGAGAGATGTGCTTTTTTGTTTCCTGATCATTTCTGTTACAAAAGGGTAAAGTCATTTTAGCAACCTCAGTGGATTACACAGCGGATTACACATGCTGTCTGACATTATTTCACATAATGCTTTACATTTTTTCATCAAATTTTGTTCACTCGATGTCTCTTTTCCATCATCTCACTCAGTGACTTCTCAATTTCCGACCATGATTTTCATGGTTTCTGTGTTACTATTGCTCTGGCATGTGCACAGCACCACACTGTCATGAAATCTGATGACTATTCTTCCAGACGTGATAAGGTTAATATATAAAAAGACATTTGAAAAATCTAAATGTATGCACCATCTTTTTACAAAATTATGGAGTTGATTACAAAAGAAACAGTGTGAATTCAATAAAATAAATAAAAATAGAAGCATAAAATTACAATTAAGGAAAAGAAATACTTGTCAGGCAATGTCTAATCCAAATTCAAAATGTTGTACGTCATTATGTGAATACTTTTGAGATGTCAATAGGTATTCTGAAAAAAAATAAAAAACAAGATGTCATAATTTCAGATCCATTTTGACAAAGCTGCTTTTTATATTCCTCCTACTACAGTGCTGAAACTCAGAATGTTCTTTGTTTGGCAATGAATAGTCCTATAAACTTGGAGTTGCAGAAATATTTCATCACAGATCCATTTTTATAGGAATATATACAGATACCTCTTGGAAACCCAATTTTACCTTCACTGCATTTTCAGATTGTTTATATCCTGGATAACTTACACTGAGCTTCAGGATTGGGTTTCACATTCCTAGTGCCTAAAGATAAGTACAATCTGTCACATGTATCTTAGAAGAAATATCTAATTTTCATGAGAAACAACATTATTTTTCTTTATAGGATTTTATTGAATAAATGTTCATACAGATCTTAACATAGAAGGTACAGGTGCTCAATATTTTCAATATTATCACTGTTTGTTATAAATTTGTGATATAGCTTGACACATTCTCTGTGACAGGACAAACTCAATGAAGACAATTGTCAATGAAGATAGTTTTAGTAACTGGATATGAAGGGAAATTTGAGGCAATGAAAGGAGGTGACAAAATACAAGACAAATAAGTGTGTGTTTGTATAAGTTCATCCTAAACTAATGTAACTGAGAAAATTCAGAGGGTTATGTAGATTTACATTTGTTATTCAATTTTGTTTTAATGCTTCATCATTCAGTAGAGTTTAAAACATATGTCGTAGAAATGTCTAAAAGGTAGAATAGAATTACTCAACATTTTACATCCATTTAGTGACTGGGAAGGAATGATTCTCAAATGTAAAGAACACTTTGCCAACTTAAAAAGATATATAGGTATAAGCTAACTAGACCAGATAGCTTCCTTCTTGGAGTAATACTGCAGACTGACCTAAGGAAAAATTATGGTGGAAATTTAAGATAATACAATTTTGTTTGGATTTATTGGTGTCTTACAACAGTTGACAAGATCAAGATAACTGGGAAAGCTATGGTACGATGGTCAAAATAGGTCATTCCATAAAGGAAGTTGATATGAATTATTTTCTTGAAGCAAATTCAGCTCATAAGCACTGGAAATTATTGAGGCAATACAAAGTTTTTTCCCCTGATTGACCTTAACAGACTACCTCCTTTGAGGACAACATAACAAGGGAAACTTAGGGTAGGAAACCCTGAACACAAGAGATCCCAGAGATGCCCATTACTGCTTATCAAGATGTTGACTTGACCTGGATCTGAGCTACCAAACAGGTTTATCCAACTTCTTGATAACCATTTTTTAAAAACCGGAATGGAAGTTGAGACCTGTTTCTCTCTTCATGCTGATTGACAAAAATGATTTGTTTTTCTTTTAGAGATTGCTATTCTATCTCATGAGTGTCACATAAGGAGGTTCCTTCTCTACCTTCCCAGCACTGAAGAGGCATTTTTTGGTAGGTTAGTATTTCCACATAACAGCTGTTCTTGAATGAAAATTTAAAACTGCTTTTGAGAGGTTTTTTCTTTCTTATTCACAATATTATTCACAATTTATATAAATAAATAAAACTCAAAGAGGTATACTTTACTACCCACCTATTTAAAAAATTGTATTTCACCCCATGAGGACAAATTCTAGATTCCATCTCCTCTGCAGATTTCTTCTAACTCTCTTGTTGCTCCTGGTTTATTCAGCTTTCATTGTTGTTTTTAGTCTCTTCATAAAAATGTGATGCATGAATAAATTAAAAAAGCACATTTCTGTCTAATGAACCTACTCACTAGGCATATCTTTCTGTTTATGACCTCATTTTTTTATTGCCCATAATAATCTCCCTTCACACATTGGCTTTGCTCATACATTTATAATTATCTCATACGATAAAAACTAAATGCCACAACATACAAGCAACATACCTTAAATTAGAAAACCATGTTTTTATTCCCACAATCTTCTATACATTTCTATTTTCTCTGTGTATGTTCTAATTATTGCATTTCATTTTGTGGAATGCATAGATGTACAACCCTTTCCTGTGATCTGGTCTCTTTCTCACCTCCTCAGAGTCTTTGTCAAATGCCACTAGATGTGTGAGATTTCCCTTGACTACTCTGTTCAAAGATGAACATGCTCACACAATTCTAACACCCATCTTTGACTTACTTTTCTCCAAAACATTTATCCTTTTATGATATAAAGTGGTTTATAGTCATCATCTGATCGCACTCACTATGACCTGTATGAACAGGGGCTTTCTTTGATCTAATTACTGTGGTAGCCACAGTGGTCAACATATAGCCAGACTTCACAAGTGTTGTTTGAAAGGGTGGATCTCATGCTTTTCTGAATTTCTGTTTTTGTATGTACTTATTTTCTAGAGGAGATATTGTGTGTATTAGTTTCCTAAGAATGCCAATACAGAGTATCTCAAACTGATTACCTTGAAACAACATAAATTTACCTCACAGTTCTGGATTTCAGAAATCTGAAATCAAGATGTCAGCAGTGTTGGTTATTTCTGAGGGCTCTAAGAGGACGAATCTGTCCCATTCCTCTCTCCCAGGTTCCTGTGATAACTAACAGTTGTTGGCATTTCTTGGTTTGTAGATGCATCACTCCAGTCGCTGCCTCCCCTATCACATGGTATTCCCAGTGTCTCGGTCTTCACATGGCCACTGTCTTATCAGAACGTGAGTCATATTGCATTAGAGAGACCCACTGTGCTCCAATATCACCTCACATTAACTAATTACCGTCTTTACGTATTTCCAAACAAGCTCACACGCTGAGTATCTTTTTGGGAAGAAATATAATTCAATCCATAACACTGGGCTAGAGAAAAAGGGCCTAGGTTTTAGATATGCATAATTGAAAATCTTTCCAGTGTATCCACTTACCATATACAACAAAGCTTACTATAAAGTGTAGATCAAATATTCTAAACTGTAAAGTAATAAGCAAACATACAGATTTTGTTAACACTGGTGTAAAACTGCCTATTATGAGAGCGAAGCATACATTTATTCTACATTTGTAGTATTGTGTTGGTCACATGTTGACTGAAGCTGAATTAGCCTATCAATTTATCTCTGAAATACTTCTCGTGTTTTAGGAACTATCTGTTTGCTTTGGAGACATATTCTTTTTGGAAAACTCCGTCAATCATTTATTAGATATTTTTATTCTAATTTTTCAATTGAAAAAGGATGCCCAGAATAAATCTTAGAACAAGCTCCATAATTTTATAAGTGATGCTGTATTGAAAGAACATATTTCGTTCAGATTCTATACTTCTTGACCTTTTAGTTTCCTACTTCTATTCATGCTGTATTGATCACCCAACTACAGAATTTACCAAAATCACACGATTTATAAGACACTGGGTAAATGTTTACCAAATTAATAAGATGGTTTTGTGGTACTAGGTAAAAAGCACATTCATCATGGCATGGGAGAATCAGACCTTCAACTCCGACTTCATCCTCCTTGGAATCTTCAATCACAGCCCACCACACACGTTCCTCTTCTTTCTGGTCCTGGGCATCTTTTTAGTGGCCTTCATGGGAAACTCTGTCATGGTTCTCCTCATCTACCTGGACACCCAGCTCCACACCCCCATGTACTTCCTCCTCAGCCAACTGTCCCTCATGGACCTCATGCTCATCTGCACCACCGTACCCAAGATGGCCTTCAACTACCTGTCTGGCAGCAAGTCCATTTCTATGGCTGGTTGTGTCACACAAATTTTCTTCTATATATCACTGTCTGGCTCTGAATGTTTTCTTTTGGCTGTTATGGCTTATGACCGCTATATTGCTATTTGCCACCCTCTAAGATATACCAATCTCATGAATCCTAAAATTTGTGGACTTATGGCTACCTTCTCCTGGATCCTGGGCTCTACAGATGGAATCATTGATGCTGTAGCCACATTTTCCTTCTCCTTTTGTGGGTCTCGGGAAATAGCCCACTTCTTCTGTGAATTCCCTTCCCTACTAATCCTCTCATGCAATGACACATCAATATTTGAAGAGGTTATTTTCATCTGCTGTATAGTAATGCTTGTTTTCCCTGTTGCAATCATCATTGCTTCCTATGCTCGAGTTATTCTGGCTGTCATTCACATGGGATCTGGAGAGGGTCGTTGCAAAGCTTTCACGACCTGTTCCTCTCACCTCATGGTGGTGGGAATGTACTATGGAGCAGCTTTGTTCATGTACATACGGCCCACATCTGATCACTCCCCAACGCAGGACAAGATGGTGTCTGTATTCTACACCATCCTCACTCCCATGCTGAATCCCCTCATCTACAGCCTCCGCAACAAGGAGGTGACTAGAGCATTCATGAAGATCTTAGGAAAGGGCAAGTCTGAGAGTGAGTTACCTCATAAACTTTATGTTTTGCTGTTTGCTAAATTCTTCTTTCTAATATCCATCTTTTTCTATGATGTCAAAATACTAGCATTGATTATGTACATTGCCTAACATATTTATGGGCACCTATACAATTTATTTCAGGTAAACCATTTTATATATTTATTTTTGTATATTCAATTCAGTTATGACTACAATATAAGTCATTTTCAATAAGGACACTAAAGTATTTCTTTAAATTACTTTTTAATTTCAATATCTTTTTGGGGAACAGGCGGTGTTTGGTTTCATTAATAAGTTCTTTAGTGGCGATTTCTGAGATTTTGGTGCACCCATCATCCAAGCAGTGTTCACTTTATCAAATGTGTGGTCTTTTATCCCTTGCCACCCCCCACCGTTTCCACCAAGTCCCCAAAGTTTATGGTCTCATTTTTATGCCTTGGTGTCTCATAGCTTAGCTTGCACATATGAGTGAAAACATGTGATGTTTGGTTTTCCATTCCTGAGTTATTTCACTTTGAATAATAGTCTCCAATTCCAACCAGGTTGCTGCAAATCCTATTAATTCATTCCTTTTTATGGCTGAGTTATATTCCGTGGTAATTTATATATATCTCACATTTTCTATATCCACTCCTTGATTGATGGGCATTTAGGCAGGTTCCACATTTTTGCAATTGCAAATTGTGCTCCTAAAAACCTGCAAGTATAAATATCTTTTTCATTTAATGACTTCTTTACTTCTGAGTATATACCTAGTAGTTGTATTACTGGATCAAATGGTAAATCTACTTTTAGTTCTTTAAGGAATCTTCACATTGTTGGCCATAGTGGTTGTACTGGTTTACATTCCCACCAAGAGTGTAAAAGTTTTCCCTTTTCACTGCATCCATGCCATCATCTATTATTGTTTGATTTTTTTATTATGGTCATTCTTGCAGGAGTGAGGTGGTATTGCACTGTGGTTTTGATTTGCATTTCCTTGATAATTAGTGATGTTGAGCATTTTTCCATATGCTTGTTGGCCATTTGTATATCTTCTTGTGAAAATTGTCTGTTTATGTCCCTTAGACCACTTTTTGATGGGATTGTTTGTTTTCTTCTTGCTGATTTGTTTGAGTTCTTTGTAGATTCTGGATATTATTCTTTTGTCAGCTGTATAGATTGTGAAGATTTTCTTCCACCCGATGGGTTGTCTGTTAACCCTGAGGATTATTTCTTTTGCTGTGCAGAAGCTTTTTAGCTTAATTAAGTCCTCTCTGTTTATCTTTGTTTTGTTTGTTTGTTTCTTTTTTGCATTTGCTATTGGGTTCTTGGTCATGAAGTCTTTGCCTAAGCCAATGTCTAGAAGGGTTTTTCTGATTTTATCTTCTAGAATCTTTATGGTTTCAGGTCTTAGATGTAAGTCTTTGATCCATCCTGAGTTGATTTTTTATAAGGTGAGAGATGAGGATCCAGTTTCATTCTCCTACATGTGGCTTGCCAATTATCCCAGCACCATCTGTTGAATAGGTTGTCCTTTCCCTACTTTATGTTTTTGTTTGCTTTGTTGAAGACCAGTTGGATGCAAATATTTTGGTTTATTTCTGGGTTCTCTCTTCTGTTCCATTGGTCTATGTGCCTATTTTTATACCAGTACCATGCCGTTTAGTGACTGTGGCTTTAGAATATAGTCTGAAATTGGGTCATGTGATGCCTTCAGATTTGCACTTTTTGCTTAGTCTTGCTTTGGCTATGTAGGCTTTTTTTTTGGTTCTATATGAATTTTAGAAATGTTTCTTCTAGTTCTCTGAACAATGATGGTGGCATTTTGATGGGAATCTCATGGAATTTGTAGATTGCTTTTGGCAGTATGGTCATTTTCCACTATTGATTCTACCCATCCATGAGCATGGGATGTGTTTCCATTTTTTGTGTTGACAATGATATTTTCCTCAGTTTTTTATAGTTTTCCTTGTAGAGGTCTTTTACCTCCTTGCATAAGTATATTCCTATGTTTTTGGTTTTGGCTTTTTGCAGCTATTGTAATAGGGATTGAATTCTTGATTTGATTCTCTGCTTGGTCGCTGTTAGTGTATAGCAAAGCCACTGATTTGTGTGCATTAATTTTGTGTCCTGAAACTTTGCTGAATTCATTTACCAGTTCTAGGAGCTTTTTGAATGAGTCTTAAGGGTTTTCTAAGTATATACTTATATCATCAGTAAACACTGAGTTTTACCTCCTCTTTACCAATTTGGATGCCCTTTACTTATTTATCTTGTCTTACTGCTCTAGCTAGGACTTCCAGTACTATCTTGAATAGGAGTGGTGACAGTGGATATCCTTGTCTTATTCCAGTTCTCAGGAGAAATGCTTTCAACTTTTGCCCATTCAGCTTAATGTTGGCTGTAGGTTTGTCATAGATGGTTTTGATTATATTATGATAATTCCCTTCTATGCCGATTTTGCTGATGATTTTAATCGTAAAGGGATGCTGGATTTTGTCAAATGCTTTTTGTGTCTATTGATATGATAATGTAATTTTTGTTTTTAATTCTGTTTATGTGGTTTATCACATTTATTGACATACATATGTTAAACCATTCCTGCATTCCCGGTATGAAACCCACTTGATCATCGTGGATTATCTTTATAATATGCCGTTGGATTCAGTTTGCTAGTATTTTGTTGAGGAGTTTTGCATGTATGTTCATCAGGAATAATGGTCTGCAGTTTTCTTTTCTTGTTGTTTCCTTCCCTGATTTTGGTATTATGGTGATAGTGGCTTCAGAGAATGATTTAGGGAAGATTCCCTCTTTATCTTTTGGAATAATGTTAGTAGGATTGGTACTAATTCTTCTTTGAATGTCTGAAAAAATTCAGCTGTGAATATCTCTGGTCTTGGACTTTATTTTGTTGGCCTTTTTCTTTTTTTATTTTTAAATTACCATTTCAGTCTCTCTGCTTGTTATTGGTCTGTTCATAGATTCTGTATCTTCCTTGTTTAATCTTGGAGGTTTATATATTTCCAGAAATGTATCCATCTCCTCTAGGTTTTTTAGTTTATGTGCAGAAAGGTGTTCACAGTAGCCTTGAATAATCTTTTGTGTTTCTGCGGTACCGATTGTAATACCGCCTGTTTCATTTCTAATTGAGCTTATTTGGATCCTCTCTCTTCTTTCTTCGTTAATCTTGATAATTGCCTATTAATGTTATTTGTCTTTTCAAAGAACCAGCTTTTTGTTTCACTTACCGTTACATTGATTTTGGTTTCAATTTCGTTTAGTTCTGCTCTGACGTTTCTTATTTCTTTTCTTCTTCTGGGTGTGGGTTTGGATTGTTTTTGTTTCTCCAGTTCAGTGAGGTATGACCTTAGATTGTCTATTTGAGCTCTTTCAGACTTTTTGATGTAGGCATTTACTGGTATGAACTTTCCTCTTAGCACTGCTTTTGCTGTGTCCCAGAGGTTTTGATAGGTTATGTTAACTATTATCATTCAGTTTAAATAATTTTTAAATTTCCAACCTCGTTTCAACGTTAAGCCAATGATCGTTCAGGAGCAGATTATTTAATTTCCATGTATTTGCATGGTTTTTAGAGTTCACTTGGAAGTTGATTTTCAATTTTGTTCCACTGCAGTCCAAGAGAGTACTTCATAAAATTTCAATTTTCTCAGTTTTACTGAGGCTTGTTTTGTGGCCTATCATATGGTCTATCTTAGAGAATATTTCATATGCTGATGAATAAAATGTACATTCTGCAGTTGTTGGGTAGAATATTCTGTAAATATCTAGGTCCTTTTGTTGTGGTGTATAGTTTGAGTTCATTGTTTCTTAGTCAACTTTCTATTTTGATGACATGTCTAGTGTTCTCTGTTGAGTATTAAAGTCCCCAAGTAATTCTGTGTTGTTGACTATCTGATTTCTTAGGTCTAGTAGTAATTGTTTTATTAATTTGGATTTCCACAGTTAGGTGCATATATATTTGTGATTTGGTATATTCCTCTTGCACTAATCTGTTTATCATTATATAATGTTCCTCTTTGCCTTTTGTAACTGCTGTTACCTGAAGGTTTTGCTTTTTATGATATAAGAATAGCTATTACTGCTTGCTTTTGGTGTCCATTTACATGGAATATCTTCTTCCACCCCTTTATCTTAAGTTTATGTGAGTCCTTATATGTTAATTGAGTCTCCTGAGGATGCAGAAACTTGTTTGTCAAATTCCTATCTATTCTGCCACTCTGTATCTTTTATATGGAACATTTAGGCCAATATATTAATGTTAGGATTGAGATATGAGGTACTATTCTATACATTGTGCTATTTGTTGCCTGAATACCTTTGTTTATTTTCATTCTGTTATTGTTATATAGGTCCTGTGATATTTATGCTTTAAGGAAGTTCTATTTTGGTGTATTCCAAGAATTTGTTTCAAGGTTTAGAACTCCTTTTAGCAGTTCTTGTAGTGCTGGCTTGGTAGTGGTGAATTCTCTCAGCTTCTCTTTGCCTAGAAAAGAGGATGCCTTTCCTTCATTTGTGAGGCTTCGTTTCACTGAATACAGAATTATTTGCTGATAATTGTTTTGTTTAAAGAGGCTGAAAACAGGACCCCAGTCCCTTCTAGCTTGTAGGGTTTCTGCTGAGAAATCTGCTGTTAATCTGGTAGGTTTTTCTTCATAGGTTACCTGATGCTTTTGTCTCACAGCTTTTACAATTTTTTCATTCATCTTGACTTCAGTTAACATGTTGGCTATGTGCAATGATCTTTTTGCAATGAATTTCCTGGGTGATGTTTGTGCTGCTTGCATTTGGATGTCTAGGGCTCTAGCAAGGCCAGGGAAGTCTTCTTCAATTATTCCCTTGAATATATTTTCCAAACTCTTAGATTTCTCTTCTTCCACAGGAACACCAATTATTCTTATGTTTGGATATTTAACATAGTCCCAAACTTCTTGGAGGCTTTGTTCATTACTTAAAATTATCTTTTCTTTGCCTTGGATGGATTGGGTTGACTTGAAAACCTTGTCTTCAATCTCTGCGTTCTTTCTTCTGAGTGTTCAATTCTATTTGTCAGACTTACCAGTGCATTTTGCATTTCTTTCAGTGTTTCCTTGATTTCCAGAAGTTATGACATTGTTTATGCTATCTATTTCACTGAAGAATTTTCCTTTCAGATTCATATTCTGTATTATGTTTTTTATTTCTTTAAGTTGGACTTCACCTTTATCTGTTTCCTCCTTGATTAGCTTAATAATCAAACTTCTGATTTTTTTCTGGCAATTCAGAGATTTTGTCTTGGTTTGGATCCATTTGTGGTGAGCTGCTGTGATCTTCTGGGGGTATTAATGAATCTTGTTTTGTCACGTTACCAGAATTGTTTTCCTGGTCCCTTCTCATTTTGGTAAACTATGTCTAAAAGAAGATCTGGGGTTTAAGGACTGCTGTTCAGATTTCTTTGACCCACTGGGTGCTCCCTTTACATGGTGTTCTCCCCCCTCCCCTAGGAATGGGGCTTCCTGACATCCAAACTGTAGTGGTTGTTTTTGCTGTTCTGTTTCTAGCCATGCCGTGGAGCCACCAAGCTCTGGGCTAGTATTTGGCAGTGTCTGCAAAGAGTCATGTGATGTGATCCGTCTTCGGGTTTTGCAGCCATGGATACCAGCACCTGCTCCAGCGGAGGTAGCGGGGGAGTGAAGTGGACACTGTAAAGGTCTTCAGTTGTGTTTTTGTTTATTGTGCTGGTTTTGTGTTGCTTGGCCTCCAGCCAGGAGGTGGTGCTTTCCAGAGTGCATCAGCAGTGGCCCTGTAGGGATGATGCAAACTTGCCCTAAGATCACCTGGTCAAGTATTCAGGTTTCTCAAGTGATGGGTGAGGCCATAGAGGTAACAAGAGATTATGACCTTTGTCTTCAGCTACCAAGGTGGGTAGAGAAAGACCACCTGGTCAGGGCAGGGATTGCTGTGTCTGAGCTCAGCCTTTTCTTGGGTGGGGCTTGCTGCTGCTGCTGCTGTGGGGGAAATGGGCGTGCAGTTTCCAGTCCAATGGAATTATGTTCCCAGGGAGATTATGGCTGCCTCTGCTGCAACACACAGGTCACCAGGGAAGTGAGAGAAAGCCAGCAATCACGGGCCTCACCCAGCTCCCACGCAGAAGGCAGTCCTAAAGGCCAGTCCTACTCCCGCCGTGCCCCCACAACAGCACCAAGTCTATTTCCAGGCAGCTGGTGACCAGGGCTGAGAATTTGCCCCAGACCATGAGCCTCTCTGTTGAGAAAGCAAATGGACTCACAGGTTTTCAGTGTCTCAGGGAGCCTGCAGTGGTGATCCAGTTCCTTCAAAGGATCTGTGGATTCTCTCAGCTTTCCTGGTATGTTCCTGCAGTAGTTCTTGGAGCAAAAATCCACATTGTGAGTTTCCACACACTACACTGTCCATCTGAGTGGGAGCTGCAAGCTAGTCCTGCTTCCTATCCACCATCTTAATTCTAGTCAGGACATTAAAGTTTGTTTTTATTCAGTATCATAAATTTTGTGGTATGCAGCCAGGTAGCCAGCAAGTCTTTTTTTTTCCTAAAGTATAAACTCAAAATTTTATTGAGCCTCTTGAAGCTCACTTTGGAATAAACGTTAATACATTGTAGGAGGGACCAAGATGACTCAGCAGAAACAGCTCTGGTGTGCAGCCCCCAGCAAGGCCAATGCAGAAGGTGAGTAATTTCTGCGTTTCCAACAGAGGTACCCAGTTCATCTCACTGGGACTGGCTAGGGAGTGGCTGTGACCCACAGAGAGTGAGCAGAAGCAGGATGGGACAATGCTTTGCCCGGGTGAGGCATAGACCCAGTTCACCTCCCTCTCTGAGCAGAAGCAGGATGGGACATTACTTTGCCCGGGTGAGGCATAGACCAGTGCACCTCCCTCTCTGAGCAGAAGCAGGATGGGACATTGCTTTGCCCGGGTGAGGCATAGACCAGTGCACCTCCCTCTCTGAGCAGAAGCAGGATGGGACATTGCTTTGCCCGGGTGAGGCATAGACCAGTGCACCTCCCTCTCTGAGCAGAAGCAGGATGGGACATTGCTTTGCCCGGGTGAGGCATAGACCAGTGCACCTCCCTCTCTGAGCGGAAGCAGGATGGGACATTGCTTTGCCCGGGTGAGGCATAGACCAGTGCACCTCCCTCTCTGAGCGGAAGCAGGATGGGACATTGCTTTGCCCGGGTGAGGCATAGACCCAGTGCACCTCCCTCTCTGAGCGGAAGCAGGATGGGACATTGCTTTGCCCGGGTGAGGCATAGACCAGTGCACCTCCCTCTCTGAGCAGAAGCAGGATGGGACATTGCTTTGCCCGGGTGAGGCATAGACCAGTGCACCTCCCTCTCTGAGCAGAAGCAGGATGGGACATTGCTTTGCCCGGGTGAGGCATAGACCAGTGCACCTGCCTCTCTGAGCAGAAGCAGGAGGGGACATTGCTTTGCCCGGGTGAGGCATAGACCAGTGCACCTCCCTCTCTGAGCAGAAGCAGGATGGGACATTGCTTTGCCCGGGTGAGGCATAGACCAGTGCACCTCCCTCTCTGAGCAGAAGCAGGATGGGACATTGCTTTGCCCGGGTGAGGCATAGACCAGTGCACCTCCCTCTCTGAGCAGAAGCAGGATGGGACATTGCTTTGCCCGGGTGAGGCATAGACCAGTGCACCTCCCTCTCTGAGCAGAAGCAGGATGGGACATTGCTTTGCCCGGGTGAGGCATAGACCAGTGCACCTCCCTCTCTGAGCAGAAGCAGGATGGGACATTGCTTTGCCCGGGTGAGGCATAGACCAGTGCACCTCCCTCTCTGAGCAGAAACAGGATGGGACATTGCTTTGCCCGGGTGAGGCATAGACCAGTGCACCTCCCTCTCTGAGCAGAAGCAGGATGGGACATTGCTTTGCCCGGGTGAGGCATAGACCCAGTGCACCTCCCTCTCCCAGCCAAGGGAAGCAGTGAGGGACTGTGATACCTGCCCAGGGTACTACGCTTTTCCCACGGATTTTTGCAATCCACAGATCAGGATTCTCCCTTGTGAGCTGACAATACCAGCTCCCTGAGTTTTAGGCACAAAACTGGGTGGCTGTTCGGCTGGCACAGAGCTGCAGTAGTTTTTTTCATGCTCCGGTGGTGCCTGGAACTTCAGTGAGACAGGAGAACTGTCCGCTCCCTGGAAAGGGGGCTGAAGCCAGGGAGCCAATTGGTCTTGCTCAGCGAATCCTACTCCCACAGAGCCCAGAAAGGTAATAACCACTGGCTTGAAATTCTCACTGCCAGAACCTCAGTCTGGAGTCTGCGTGTTTGATAGAGTTTGGTGGGGGGAGGGGCGACCGCCACTACTGTGGCTTTAGTAGGAGGTTTTCTCTTGACAGTGCTGAGAAGAGTGGGAGTTCTGGACTGAACGGAATTCACCGCAGCGCAGCCAAGCGGCTGTGGACAGACTGCCTCTCTAGATTTCTCCTGACCGGGGAGGGCATCTCTGCAGGAGATCCAGCAGCTCCAGTCAGGGGCTGACAGACAGAACTCTCATCTCCCTGGAACAGAGCACTGGGGGAGAGGGGCGGCTGTGGGTGCAGCTTCAGCAGACTTAACCTTTCCTGCCTGCGGGCTCTGAACAGAGCAGCTGATCCTGTCAAGGAGGCTTCTCCCAGCGCAGCACACCAGCTCTGCTAAGGGACAGATGGCCTCCTCAAGCGGGTCCCTGACGCCATGCATCCTGACTGGGAGAGACCTCCCAGGAGGGGTCGAAAGACACCTCATACAAGAGAGCTCTGACTGGCATCAGGCCGGCACCCCTCTGGGACGAAGCTTCCAGGGGAAGTAGCAGGAAGTAATCTTTGCTGTTCTGCAGCCTCCACTGGTGATACCCAGGTGAACAGGGTCTGTAGTGAACCCCCAGCAAACTGCAGCAGACCTCCAGAAGAGGGGCCTGACTGTCAGAAGAAAAACTAACAGACAGAAAGCAGCAGCAACAACAACAACATCAACAAAAAATACTCCCCCTTCACAAAAACCCCATCCAATTGTCATCAGGTTCAAAGATCAAAGGTGGATAAATCCTCCAAGATGAGGAAAATCCAGCCCCCAAACACAGAAATTCCAAAAGACAGAATGTCTCTTTTCCTCCAAATGACTGCAACACCTCTCCAGCAAGGGCAAAGAACTGGATGGAGAGTGAGATGGATGAATTGACAAAACTAGGCTTCAGAAAGTGGGTAAATAACAAACTGCACTGAGCTAAAGGAGCATGTTCTAACCCAATGCAAAGAAGCTAAGAACTGGATAAAAGTTTACAGGAGCTGCTAACTAGAGTAACCAGTTTAGAGAGGAACATAAACACCTGACATAGCTTAAAAACATAGCATAACAACTTCATGAAGCATACGCAAGTATCAGTAACTAAACTTATCAAGTGAAAAAAAGGATACTAGGGTCTAAAGACCATCTTGCTGAAATAAGGCATGCAGACAAAATTAAAGAAAAAGAAGAATAAAAAGGAATGAACAAAACCTCTGAGAAATATGGGACTATGTAAAAAGATGGAATCTACAATTGATTGGAGTACCTGAAAGACATAAGGAGAATGGAACCAAGTTGGAAAACACACTTCAGGATATTATCCAGGAGAGCTTCCCCAACCTAGCAAAACAGGCCAACATTCAAATTCAGGAAATACAGAGAACACCAATAAGATACTCCATGAGAAGATCAACCCCAAGACACATAATCATCAGGTTCTCCAAGGTCAAAATGAGGGAAAAAGGGCAGCCAGAGAGAAAGGTCAGGTCACCTACAAAGGGAGATCCAGCAGACTATTAGCAGATACCTCAGCAGAAACCCTACAAGCCAGAAAAGAGTAAGTTCAACATTCAAGATTCTCAAAGAAAATCATTTTCAATCCAGAATTTTATATCCAGCCAAATTCAGCTTCATAAGTGAAGGAGAAATGAAATGCTTTCCAGACAAGCAACTGTTAAGGTGATTTCATCACCACCAGGCCTGCCTCCCAAGGGGTCCCCAGTGAAGCATTAAATAGAGAAAGAAAAAACGGGTACCAGCCATTGCAAAAACAGACCCAAGTGTGAAGAACAATGACACTATGAAGAAACTGCATCAACTAATGTGCAATATAACCAGCTAGCATCATGATGAGAGGATCAAATTCACACATAACAATATTAACCTGAAATGGAAATGGGCTAGATGCTCCTATTAAAAGACACAGACTGGCAAATTGGATAAAGAATCAAGACCCATTGGTGTGCTGTATTCAGGAGATCCATCTCACGTGCAAAGACACACATAGGCTCAAAATAAAGGGGTGGAGGAAAATTTACCAAGCAAATGGAAAGCAACAACAACAACAAAAAAAAGCAAGGGTTGTACTCTGAGTCTCTGATAAAACAGACTTTAAACCAACAAAGATCAAAAAAGACAAACAAGGGCATTATATAATGGTAAAGGGATCAATGCAACAAGAAGAGCTAACTATCTTAAATATAGATGCAACCAATACAGGAGCACCCAGACTCATGAAATGAGTTCTTAAGAGACCTGCAGAGTGACTTAGACTCCCATACAATAACAGTGGGAGACTTTAACAACCAACTGTCAATATTAGACAGATCAACGAGACAGAAAATTAACAAGGATATCTAGGACTTGAACGTTGCTCTGGATCAAGTGGACCTAATAGACATCTACAGAACTTTCCACCCCAAATCAACAGAATATACATTCTTCTCAGCACCATGTAGCACTTATCCTACAATTGACCACATAATTGGAAATAAAACACTCCTCAGCAAATGCAAAAGAACTGAAATTATAACAGTCTCTCAGACCACAATGCAATCAAATTGGTACTTAAGATAAAGAAACTCACTCAAAACCACACAACTATACAGAAATTGAGCAGCCTGCTTGTCAATGACTCTTGGGTAAATAACAAAATTAAGGCAGAAATCAAGACGTTCTTTGAATCTAATGAGAAGTAAGAGACAACTTACCAGAATCTCTGGGACACAACAAAGCAGTGGTAGGAGGGAAATTTGTAGCACTAAATGCCCACAACAAAAAGCTGGAAATATCTCAAATCGGCAACCAGACGTCACAATTAAAAGAACTAGAGAAGCAAGAGCAAACAAATCCAAAAGTTAGCAGAAGACAAAAAATCACTAAGATCAGAGCAGAACTGAAGAAAATAGAGTCACAAAAAACTCTTCAAAAAATCAATGAATTCAGGAGCTAACTTTTGGAAAAAAATTAACAAAATAGATAGACCACAGGCTAGACTAATAAACAATAAGGAATCAAATACACACAATAAAAAATGATGAAGGGGATGTCACCAATGGCCTCACAGAAATACAAACTACCATCAGAGAATACTATAAAAACCTCTATGCAAATAAACTGGAAAATCTAGAAAAAATGGATAAATTCCTGGACACATACATTCTCCCAGGACTAAACCAGGAAGAAATGAAATCCCTGAATAGACCAATAACAATTCTGAAATTGAGGTAGTAATTAATAGCCTACCATCCAAAAAAAAGTCCATGGTCAGATGGATTCACAGCCAAATTCTACCAGAGGTACAAAGAAGAGCTGGTACCCTAGCTTCTGAAACTATTGCAAATAATTGAAAAGGAGGGACTTCTCTCTAACTCATTTTATGAGATCAGCATCATCCTGATACCAAAACCTGTCAAGGACACAACAACAACAAAAAAAGAAAACATCAGGCCAATATCTCTGATGAACATTGATGTGAATGAAAATCCTCAATAAAATACCAGCAAACAAAATCCAACAGCACATCAAATGCCTCTACAGCCCAATCAAGTCTGCTTCATCCCTGAGATGCAAGACTGGTTCAACATATGCAAACCAGTAAAAGTAATCCATCACAGAAACAGAACCAAAGGAAAAAAAAGTTATTTCTCAACAGATGCAGAAAAGGCCTTCGAGAAACTTCAACATCCCTTTCATGTTAAAAACTCTCAATAAACTAGGTGTTGATGAAACATATCTCAAAATAATAAAAGCTACTTATGACAAACCCATAGTCAATATGATACTGAATGGGCAAAAGCTGAAAGCATTCCCTTTGAAAACCAGCACAAGACAAGGATGTCCTCTCTCACCACTCCTATTCAGTATAGTATTGGAAGTCCTGGCCACAGCAATCAGGCAAGAAAAAAAAAAAAGCATATTTAAACAGGAAGAGAGAAAGTCAAATTGTTTCAGTTTGTGGATGATATGATTCTATATTTAGAAAACCCCATCATCTCAGGTCCAAAACTCCCTAAGCTGATAAGCAACTTGAGCAAAGTCCCAGGATACAAAATAAATGTCCGAAAATCACAAGCATTCCTATACACTAACAATAGAGGCAATTCATGAATTAACTCTCATTCACAATGACTACACAGATAATAAAGTACCTAGGCATACAGCTAACAAGGGATGTAAAGGACCTCTTCAAGGATAACTACAAATCACTCCTCAAGGAAATAGGAGAGGACACAAACAAATGGAAAAACATTTCATCCTTGTGGATAGGAAGAATCTATATCATAAAAATGGCCATATCGAGCAAAGAAATTTATAGATTCAATGCTAATCCCATCAAACTACCATTGACATTCTTCACAGAATTAGAAAAAAACTTCTTTTAATTTCATATGGAACCAAAAAAGAGCCTGTATAGTCAAGACAATCTTAAGCAAGAAGAACAAAGCTGGAGGCATCATGCTACCTGACTTCAAACAATATTGCAAGGCTACCGTAACCAAAACAGCATGGTAGTGGTGCCAAAACAGATATATAGACCAATGGAACAGAACAGTGGCCTCAGAAATAGCACCACACATCTACAACCATCTAATCTTTGACAAACCTGACAAAAAAAGCAATGGGGAAATTATTCCCTTTTTAATAAATGGTGCTGGGAGAGCTGGCTAGCCATAAGCAGAAAACAGAAACTAGACCCCTTCCTTACACCTTATATAAAAATTAACTCAAGATGGATTAAAGACTTAAATGTAAAACTCAAAACCATGAAAACCCTGGAAAAAAACCTAGGCAATACCATTCAGGACATAGGTATAGGCAAAGACTTCATGACAAAAAACACCAAGAGCAATTGCAGCAAAAGCCAAAATTGACAAATGAGATCTAATTAAACTGAAGTGCTTCTGCACAGCAAAAGAAACTAGCATCAGAGTGAACAGGCAACCTATGGAATGGGAACAAATTTTCACAATCTATCCATCTGACAAAGGTCTAACATCCAGAATCTACAAGGAACATAACCAAATTTACAAGAAAAAAACAACCTCATCAAAAAATGGGAGAAGTGTATGAACAGACACTTCTCAAAAAAAGACATTTATGCATCCAACTAACATATGATAAAAAAGCTCATCATCACTTATCATTAGAGAAATCCAAATCAAAACCACAATGAGATACCATCCAACTCCAGTCAGAATGGCCATTATACTTTCTGCAGAAGTAGCTGGGAATGGAGCTGTCCCCCTCCAGTCTCCTCTCCCCTCACCACGGAGCAAATTCTTTGCAGCATAAGAGAATAAACGCATGCGGAAGAGAAGGCGTTTCAGAAACTAGTTTCCAACCGACAGATCCACCTCGTACTTCTGATGCACGGTCACGTGCATTTCTCCTCAAAGGACTTCATCTATAACATCCTCACCATTAAATAAAGACAGGCCTTGTCTACTCTAGGGCAGGGTGAGTAGGTCTGTGAACGTTTTCTGAAAGAATGTGATGAGAAAATTCGAGAAGAGCATGAAGAAATCAAACACAAAACTGGCAGAACAGGATGATGCATTTGTGAAGTTCACGCTTGGTGAAATAATGTGACACTCTGGCGCTGGCTCTTACGTTTCATGACTCACACATTCTGCATTTGCCGCTGCCTTATTCCTGCTGACTTATTGCAAAGGGTCCCAATTTTGACCTGATACAATGCCGGTATCCCTCGGTAAATACAGGTTTTTGCAAGCTTTTGACAATGGCACCCACTCTTACACCCTAGCAACTGGTTTTGGACATTTCCCCGATTTCAGCACCACTTAATGTGGACCTTTGCTACCTATATTAATACAGTTTTGGCTCCTTATTTTAACATGTTTGAAAAGGATTAAAGGGGGTATTCTAAAACATGTTTAGAACATATTTCGCTGGTTGCTTAAATAAAACTAGAATGACAATGCAGAGGACATTAGTGAGATTTTAATTGTGTACTACAACCAGGACATAACCAGTAATAACTGATTGAGAAAGTAATCCCAGGACAATCTGAAGCAAATAGCCACAGCACTTCTTGAGAAATAGTGAAGGAGGAAGCCATTCTGTATTCCAGGACTTCTTGGGCATTCAGAATAGGCTTATGGTTTTTTAAGAGTTTTATTTATTTTACCAGTCTTTCAAACAAATGTATATTGCTGCACTTTTGTCCCAGTACATCATTGTTTTACCTCTTTCGAAGTACTGGAATTTAGCTGGAAGGATGAAACATTTACTTCTAAAATAAAGAAAGGAGAGTATTTAACCAAAAATGTAGGCTTCTGTTATCTCTAGAGGCAAATAATAAATAACATACATTCAGGTTATGTGCGCACAGACATCTATTAATCTGTAATATTTTATTTATTATTTTGTTTTATTTTTATATGGTATATTTTATATTTGAGATGGGGTCTTGCTCTGTCGCTGAGGCTGGAGTGCAGTGGCGCAATCTCAGCTCACTGCAATCTCCACCTCTCAAGTTCAAGCGATTATCCTGCCTTAGCCTCCTGAGTAGGTGGGACAGGCCTGAGCCACCATGCCCTGCTAATTTTTGTATTTTCAGTTGAGATGGGGTTTCACCATATTGGCCAGGCTGGTCTCGAACTCCTGGCCTCAAGTGATCCACCTGCCTTGGCCTCCCAAAGTGCTGGGATTACAGGCGTGAGCCACTATGCCCAGCCTGTAATATTTTATTTTAAGCTGGTGATGGGTACATTGGTGTTTTATTTGTTTTATACATTGTCATCCACTGAAATATTTCTAAATATACAAATAGCTATCCTTGTAATTCAGGCTATGAACAATTTAAGAAAAACAATAACATTATCTCAGTAAAAACAGGATATCATTCAATACAATTCAGTGAACATTTATTGAAGAAAGCATTGGTAAAAGAAATACAATGGGATTTTGCTAATGTGCTGAATACACCTACCAAAACCTCAAACAAACACTATATGTCATGGTGAACTATATCGCTAAAGGCTTCAGGTACTCAAGAATATTGTTCTTCAACATTTTAAATATATATATTTTAATCAAATGATGCAAGGAAAATAGATAAAATTGGAAAGACATATAAAGTTGTTTCATCCATTGTATGTAATATTTTTCTCTTCACTAAGGAATACAAAAAAATTACCATTCTTGGATTCAAGGTCTATAAGCAACAATTAACAGATTTCTATATATTAACAAAAACAAATAGAAGATGTAATAGAAACAATAATCCATACACTAGAGCAACGAAATATAAAATACCTATAAACATTTCAATTTTATAATGACTTTGACAGAAAATATATACAGGCGTTTTAAGGGATAGAAAACATACTAAAGAACATACAAATAGAATTAGAATTATGTAGGGAACTTTAAGATGTTAAAAATGCCAATTCTACCCAAACATATCTTGCTTTGATGATGGAGCAGAAGGAAGAGTGAAGAGAAACCATGGAAGAGGAATGATATTAGCCTGGAACACCCTGACTGCCATTCTCTAGCTCTGAGACGTCAATTTACTTCTGCCCTCAGTTTCACATGTAAAACATACGACAATATAATTAAATATATTATATAATAATATATACATGTGTCTAATAGGGGTATCTGGCATACACAATGGTTGTAAGTATTATGTTAATTTACAAACCTTTTTTTTTTAAACATAGTGCCAGTTACACAGAAAGCACTTAGTGTGTTTCACCTCATCATGTGAGAGAGAGGGGGAAGTTTCAGAAAGTTCACCCTAATCTACAAGGAAGGAGGCGTAATTATCTTTGTAGTATTTTCAAGAAAAGGAAGCTAATTCGGCTTCATGTCCTAGGAGAGGAGACAGAAGGAAATACAAACTTTTAAAATTAAAGACAAGGGAATGGATTCCCCAAGGGCTGAAAATTTAAGTTTTTGTCTTTTCATTTATTTTTCAATAACCATAAAGATTCCAACTGTACGTTAGGTGCTTTTTTTTCTTATTATGGAAACATAAAACCTGTAAGATATTTATATATTTTTGCCTTTCCAGGAAACCACAATCTCACTGAAAATATACACTATTCAGGTAAGTACTAAGAGGTAAGTTAACCAAGCGCAAGCATGACTTTGTATAAGCTAGTGCTGAAATTTCTGCTGAACATGGTGATGATTGATCTCATTTCTTAAGTCATTTTTTGTGCTAAGAATTTTATAAACATTATTCTATTTTATCTGTACAATATTACTTTGAGAAATGTGGTACAATCTGAGGCAGAAGGAGTGGTTACTTGCTCCAGCTTATCAGTGTGAAAGATTGGATAAAATCCATTACTTTTGTTTTTCCATGTCCTGGTATTCCAGATTTGAAAAAGAAATTGACAGTGAATAGATGTCAGAGGAGAAGAGTAGCAGATGAGAACCATAAACAATGATTTGAAAATTTTGGCCACGTTCTCTTTTCTTTTAATAATTTTAGCTCATGCAGGATGAGAATTCCTAAACCAAAATCTAATACCCAAAGCACTCCAAAATCAGAACCTTTTCAGTGCTGACATGAGATGGTGACACTTTTGCTTCCTGATGGTTCACAAACTTTCTCCCATACACAAAATTGTTTTAAAATACTGCATAAAATTACCTTCAGGCTATTTGTATAAGGTATACATAGAACATAAATTTTTTCCTTACACTTGGTTCTATTCCAAAAAAATCTCATTATTAGCTATGCAGATATTCCAAAGTGTGAAAAAGAATCTGAAATCTGCAACACGTCTGGTCCCAAGCATTTTGGATAAGGAATCCTCAACCCGTATTAATGAATGCTTTACATTTGTCATGTATTCTTTTAAGACGTTTACACCTATTTTTAAAATATTTTATTAAACTTCAGAGTATAAAATGTTTATTTACAAAAATATGTTAGATATACATTTTGTAAAATGCTTTAAAATATTACCAGTGCCTTTGAAAAACAGTTTAACTCTCTCTGATTATATAACTTTTCAGGCCCATTTTGTAGGTAGTCATTATTCCAGTATTGCTGTGCTTCATAAGTGATTTTTAGATGTGTGTTTAAATTACTCATAATAGGATTCATGAGGGCATTCCTTGTGATCTACTTTGTTCATTCAACATTCTATTTGTGAGACTCATCAATGCTACTTCTTGTAGTTATGCTTATAAATTCCATCGTTAGTGCACATGCAGGTTGCATTTTTATATTACATATAAAGTTGCTATGCTCATTTTTGCTAATATGAGAGATTTGTTGTTTTGTGTTGTTTCCTGATCATTCCTATTACAAAAGGGTAAAGTCAGTTTAGCAACCTCAGTGGATTACACAGTGGATTACACATGCTGTCTGATACATAATGCTTTACAACTTTTTTGATCAAATTCTGGCCACTCAGTGTCTCTTTTCCATCATCTCCCTCAGTGACTTCTCAATTTCTCAACAAGATTTTCATGGTTTCTGTGTTACTATTGCTCTGGCAGGTGTAGAGTATCACAGTGTCATGAAATCTCATCATGATTTTCATAATTTCTGTGTTGGCATTGCTCAGGCATGTGCACAGTATCACAGTGTCATGAAATATGACCATGAATTTCATAACTTCTGTGTTACTATTGCTCTGGGCCTGTGCACAGTACCACAGTGTCATGAAATCTGATGATGATTTTCATGGTTTCTATGTTACTATTGCCCTGGGTATGTGCAAATGTCACAGTGTCATGAAATATGACCATGATTTTCATGACTTCTGTGTTACTATTGCTCTGGGCCTGGGCACAGCACCACAGTGTGATGAAATCTGATGAGTCGTCTTCCTGATGTGATAAGATTCATACATAAAAATAATTTTTAATATTAAATATATGCACCATCTTTTTACAAAACAATGAAGTTTATTACAAAAGAAACATAGTAGATTAGATGAAATAAATAAAAATGGAAGCACAATATTACAATTAAGAAAAAAATACTTGGCAGGCAATGTCTAATCCAGAGTTCAAAATGTTGTACCTCATTATGTGAATACTTTTGATATGCCAGTGGGTATTCTGAAAAAAATAAAATAAACAAGATGTCATAATTTCAGATCCTTTCTGAAAAAGCTGCCTTTTTTATTCCTCTTAATACAGTGCTGCAACTCAAAATATTCTGGTTTTTTTTGACAGTGAATAGTCCTGAGTAACTTGGAGTTGCAAAAAATATTTCGCCACAGGTCCATTTTTATAAGACTACATACAAATACCTCTTTGAATCCCAATTTTATCTTTACTGCATTTTCAGATTGTTTATATCCTGGATAACTTACAATGACTTTCAGAGTTGGATCTCATATTCCTAGTGCCTAAATTAAGCACAATCTGTCATATGTGTCTTACTAACTTAGAAGAAATATTTAATTTCCTCATGAGTAACACATTAGTTCTTTTTATAGAATTTTATTGAATAAATATTCACATGGATCTTAATACTAAAGGTACAGGGCAATGTAATAGTCAATATTTTCAATTTTGTGACTTCTAAATTTTTATAAATTTATGATATACCTTGCCATATTCTCCGTGACAGGGCAAACTCAATGAAGACAATTTTAGCACATGGATATGAAGGAGGTGAAAAATACAACACAAATAATAGTGCATTTATATAAGTTCAGCCTAAACTAATGTAACTGAGAAAATTCAGAGGGATATGTAGATTTACACTTGTTATTCAATTTTGTTTTAATGCTTCATGATTCAGTGGAGTTTAAAACATATGTGGTGGAAATGGATAAATGATGGAGTAGAATTATTCAACATTTTATGTCAATTTGGTGACTGGGAAGGAATGATTCTCAAATGTAAAGAACACTTTGCCAACTTAAAAAGAAGCATAGGAACAAGCTAACTTGACAAGACAGCTTCCTTCTTGGAGTAATATTGCAGACCTACTTAAAGAAAAATTATGGTGGAACTTTGAGGTAATATAGTTTTGTTTGCATAAATTAGTGTATTACAACAGTTGACAACTTCAAGGTAACTGGGAAGGCTATGGTATAATGGTCAGAATAGGTGGTTCCATAAAGTAAGTTGAGACGAGTTATTTTCTTAAGATGAATTAAGCTCATAGGCACTGAAAATTATTGAGGCAATACAAAGTCTTTCCCCCTGATTGACTTTAAAAGCCTACCTCCTCTTGAAGACAACACAAGGGAACCCTGTGGTAGGAAACCCCCAACACTGAAGATCCCAGAGATGCCCATTTCTCATTCTCAAGACATTGACTGGACCTAGATCTGAGCTACCAATAATCAGCTTTATCCAACTTCTTGGTAACCATTTGTTTTAACACCAGAAAGGGAGGAGGTTGAGGCCTGTTTCTCTCTTTATACTGATTGACAAAAATGATTTGTTTTTCTTTTAGAGATTGCTATCCTATCTCATGAGTGTCACTTAAGGAGATTCCTTCTGCATCTTCCCAGCCCTTAAGAGGCATTTCTTAGTATTCCCAGGTCAAAGTTGTCCTTGGGTTAAAATTTAACATTACTTTTGAGTATTTTTTTCTTACACACAATATTATTCAAAATTTATATAAATAAATAAAAGTCAAAAAGATATACTTTACTATCTCCCTATTTAAAAAGTTTTATCTCAACTCATGAGGCCAAATTCCAGATTCCGTCTCCTCTGTAGATTTCTTCCAACTCCCTTGCTCTTCCTAGATTATTCAGCTTTCATTGTTGTTGTTGTTTTCAGTCTCTTCATAAAAATGTGACGCATGAATAAATGAGAAAATGTACATTTCTGTCTAATAAGTCTACTCACCAGGCTTCTTTTTCTGTTTAGAACATAATTTTTTACTGCCTGGGATAATCTCCCTTCACATATTGGCTTTGCTCATACATTTATAATTATCTCATACAATAAAATCTAAATGCCACAACATACGAGAAACATAATTCTAAATTTTAAAACCCTGTGTTTTCTCAAAATCTTATACACATTTCTATTTTTTTCTGTGTATGTTCTATTTATGCATTTCAGTTTGTGGAATTCCTATTTGGATAACCCTTTCCTGTGATCTGGTCTCTTTCTCACTTCCTCAGTGTCTTTGCCAAATGCCATTATAAGTGTGAGGTTTCCCTTGACTACTCTATTCAAAGTTGAACATACTCATGCAATTCTAATGCCCTTCTTTAACTAAGTTTTCTCCAAAGCATTTATCCTCTTTTTTTATTATTTTTATTATTATTATACTTTAAGTTTTAGGGTACATGTGCACAATGTGCAGGTTAGTTACATATGTATACATGTGCCATGCTGGTGTGCTGCACCCATTAACTCGTCATTTAACATTAGGTATATCTCCTAATACTATCCCTCCCCCCTCCCCCAACCCCACAACAGTCCCCAGAGTGTGATGTTCCCCTTCCTGTGTCCATGTGCTCTCATTATTCAATTCCCATCTATGAGTGAGAACATGCGGTGTTTGGTTTTTTGTCCTTGCGATAGTTTACTGAGAATGATGATTTCCAATTTCATCCATGTCCCTATAAAGGACATGAACTCATCATTTTTTATGGCTGCATAGAATGATGAGGCTGCATTTATCCTCTTATAACATAAATTGTTTTATATGTCATCATCTGATCACACTCACTGTGACCTGTATGCACAGGGACTTTGTTCTGATCACTGTGGTAGCCACAGTGGTCAACACGTAGCCAGGCTTCATAAGTGTGGTTGGAAAGAGTGGATTTCATGCTTTTCTGAATTTCTGTTTTTGTATGTACTCATTCTCTAGAGGAGATATTGGATGTATTAGTTTCCTAGGAATGCCAATACAGTATCACAAACTGGTTACCTAAAACAACAGAATTTTATTCTCTCACAGTTTTGGAGGCTAGAAATCTGAAATCAAGATGTCACCAGGGTTGGTTACTTCTGAGGGCTCTAAGCAGATGAATCTGTCCCATTCCTCTCTCCCAGGTTCTTGTCATAACTAACAGTTGTTGACATTTCTTGGTTTGCAGATGCACCACTCTAATCCCTGCCTCCCCCATCACACGGTAATCCCCAGTGTCTCAGTCTTTGCATGGCCACCCTCTTATCAGAACATGAGTCATAACTGATTAGAGAAACCCACTCTAATCCAATATGATCTCACCTTAACTAGTTACACTCTTTATGTATTTCCAAACAAGCTCACATGCTGAGTATCTTTTTGGGAAGAAATACAACTCAATCCGTAACACTGGGCTATGGAAAAAATGGCCTAGGTTTTAGATTTGTATAATTGAAAATCTTTTCAGTGTATCCAATTACTGTATAGAAAACTTACTACAAAGTGTACATCAAACACTCTAAAGTAATAGACAAACAGATTTTGTTAACACTCCTAGTAAAAATGTCTACTATTATGTGAGCAAAGGCACACATTTATTCTCCATTTCTAGTACTGTGATGGTCACATGCTGACTGAAGCTGAATTTCTCTATCAATGTGTCTGTAAAAGACTTCTAATTTTATAGGAACTATCTGTTTCCCTTGGAGACTTTAAAAAAAAAAAAACTCCATCCATTATTTATTAGATACTATAATTCTAATTTTTCAATGGAGAAAGGGGATGCTCAGAAGAAAACCTTAGGACAAGCTCTATAATTTCGTGAGACAGTGTTGAAAGAACATATTTCGTTCAGATTCTATATTTCTTGACCTTTTAGTTTCCTACTTCTATTCATGCTGTATTGATCACCCAACTACAGAAGTTACCACAATCACATGATTTATAAGGCACTGAGTAAAGTTTTACCAAATTAATACGCTGGTTTTGTGGTACTAGGTAAAAAGCATACACATCATGGCAAGGGAGAATTCGACCTTCAACTCCGACTTCATCCTCCTGGGAATCTTCAATCACAGCCCCACCCACACCTTCCTCTTCTTTCTGGTCCTGGCCATCTTTTCAGTGGCCTTCATGGGAAACTCTGTCATGGTTCTCCTCATCTACCTGGACACCCAGCTCCACACCCCCATGTACCTCCTCCTCAGCCAACTGTCCCTCATGGACCTCATGCTCATCTGCACCACCGTACCCAAGATGGCCTTCAACTACCTGTCTGGCAGCAAGTCCATTTCTATGGCTGGTTGTGCCACACAAATTTTCTTCTATACATCACTGCTTGGCTCTGAGTGCTTTCTTTTGGCTGTTATGGCTTATGACCGCTACACTGCCATTTGCCACCCTCTAAGATACACCAATCTCATGAGCCCTAAAATTTGTGGACTTATGACTGCCTTTTCCTGGATCCTGGGCTCTACGGATGGAATTATTGATGTTGTAGCAACATTTTCCTTCTCCTACTGTGGGTCTCGGGAAATAGCCCACTTCTTCTGTGACTTCCCCTCCCTACTAATCCTCTCATGCAGTGACACATCAATATTTGAAAAGATTCTTTTCATCTGCTGTATAGTAATGATTGTTTTCCCTGTTGCAATCATCATTGCTTCCTATGCTCGAGTTATCCTGGCTGTCATTCACATGGGATCTGGAGAGGGTCGTCGCAAAGCTTTTACTACTTGTTCCTCTCACCTCTTGGTGGTGGGAATGTACTATGGAGCAGCTTTGTTCATGTACATACGGCCCACATCTGATCGCTCCCCAACACAGGACAAGATGGTGTCTGTATTCTACACCATCCTCACTCCCATGTTGAATCCCCTCATCTACAGCCTCCGCAACAAGGAGGTGACCAGAGCATTCATGAAGATCTTAGGAAAGGGCAAGTCTGGAGAGTGAGTTACCTAATAAACTTCATGTTTTGCTGTGTGCTAAATCCTTTTTTTAAATGGTCCTATTTTTCCATTAAGCCTTGAAAATGGGATTCATTGTGTACATAAATCTGCAATGACATATTTATGTGCACCTATATAATTTATTTCAGATAAACTATTATAACTATTTATTATTTTATATTCATTTCTGCTATGACCACAATGTAAGTCATTTCCAATAAGAATATTAAAGTTTTAAAAATTATTTTTAATTTCCATAGGTTTTTGGAGAACAGGTAGTGTTTGGTTTTATGAATAAGTTCTTTAGTGATGATTTCTGAGATTTTGGTGCACCCATCACCCAAGCAGTATTCACTGTACCCAATGTGTAGTCTTTTATCACTTGTCATTCCCCGTATTTCCCTCATGTCCCCAAAGTCCAGTGTATCATTCTTATGACTTTTTGTCTCATAGTTTAGTTTCAACATATGAATGTGAACGTATGATGTTTGGTTTTTCATTCCTGAGTTACTTTACTTAGAATAATAGTCTCTAATTCCATCCCAGTTGCTGTGAATGCCATTATTTTGTATTTTTTATGACTGAGTAGTATTCCATGGTATGTGTGTATATAGATATATATATATATACGTATATATATACACACACACATATATATATATAACCTTTTCTTTATCCACTCGTTGATTGATGGGCATTTGGACTGGTTCCATATTTTTGCAATTGCAAATTGTGCTGCTTTATACATGCATGTGCAGGTATCTTTTTTGTATAATAACTTCTTTTCCTCTGTGTAGTTAGTAGTGGTATTGCTAGATCAAAAGGTAGATCCACTTTTAGTTCTTTAAGGAATGTTCACACTGTTTTTTACAGTGGTTGAACTAGTTTGCATTCCCACCAGCAGTGTAAAAGTTCCCTTTTGACCGCATCCACACCAGCATCTATTATTGTTTGATTGATTATGGCCATTCTTGCAGAAGTGAGGTGGTATTGCATTGTGGTTTTGATTTGCATTTCCCTGATAATTAGTGATGTCAAGCATTTTTCTAGATGCTTGTTGGCTATTTATATATATTTATATATCTCCTTTTGAGAATTGTCTATTCATGTCCTAGGCCCACTTTTTGATGGGATCATTTGTTTTCTTCTTGCTGATTTGTTTGAGTTCTTTGTAGATTCTGGAAATTAATCCCTTCTCAGATGTATAAATTGTGAAGATTTTCTCCCACTCTATGGGTTGTCTATTTACTCTGCTGACCGTTCCTTTTGCAGTGCAAAAGGTCTTTAGTTTAATTAGTTCCCAGCTATTTATCTTTGTTTTTATTGCATTAGTTTTTGGGTTCTTGCTCATGAAACCCTTGCCTAAGCCAATGTCTACAAGGATTTCTCTGATGTTATCTTCTGGAATCTTTATGTTTTCAGTACTTAGATTTAAGGTTTTTATCCATCTTGAGTTGATTTTTGTATAAGGTGAGCGATGAGGATCCAGTTTCATTCTTCTACATGTGGCCTGTCAGTTAGCCCAGCACCATTTGTTGAATATGGTGTTCTTTCCCCCACTTCATGTTTTTGTTTGTGTTGTTGAAGATCAGATGGCTGTAAGTATTTTGGTTTATTTCTGGGTTCTCTATTCTGTTTTGTCTGTCTATGTCTCTATTTTTATCCAGTACCATGCTGTTTTGGTGACTATGGCTTTATAGTATAATTTGAAGTTGGGTATGTGGTGCCTCCAGATTTGTTCTTTTTGCTTATTCTTGCTATGGCTATGCAGGACTTTTTTATTCCATATGAATTTTAGGATTGTTCTTTCTAGTTCTGTTAAGAAGGATGGTGATATTTTAGTGGGAATTGCATTGAATTTGTAAATTGCTTTTGGCAGCATGGTCATTTTTACAATATTGTTTCTACCCATCCATGAGTATGGGATGTATTTCCATTTATTTGTGTTGTCAATGATTTTTTTCAGCAGTGTTTTGTATTTTTCCTTGTAGAAGTCTTTCACATCCTTGGTTAGGTATACTCCTTAATATTTTGTGTTGTTGTTGTTATATTATTTGCTTCTGTCATGAAAGGGTTGAGTTCTTGATTTGATTCTCAGCTGGTTGCCATTAGTATATAGCAGAGCTACTGATTTGTGTACATTAATTGTGTGTCCTGAAACTGTTGAATTTATTTACCAGTTCTAGGAGCTTTTTAGATGAGCCGTTAGGGTTTTCTATGTATTCCATCGTATCATCAGCAAACAGCGACAGTTTTCCTTTCTCTTTACCATTTTGGATGTCCTTTATTTCTTTCTCTTGTCTGATTGCTCTAGCTAGGACTTTCAGTATTATCTTGAACAGACATGGTGAAAGTGGACATCCTTGTCTTGTTCCAGTTCTCAGGGGGAATGCTTTCCAATTTTCCCCTTTCAGTATAATGTTTGCTGTGGATTTCTCATAGAAGGCTTTGATTACCTTAACGTCACCTCTATGTCCCTTCGTGTTGATTTTGCTTAGAATTTTAATTGTAAAGGGATGTGGGATTTCATCAAATGCTTTTTCTCTGTCTATTGAGATGATCATGTGATTTTTGTTTTTAATTCTGTTTATGTGGTGTATCATATTTATTGACTTATGTATCTTAAACCATCCCTACATCCCTGGTATGAAACTCACTTAATTATGGGTGGATTAGCTTTTCGATATGCTGTGGGATTCAGTTCTCTAGTATTATGTTGAGGATTTTTGCATCTATGTTCATCAGGGATATTGGTCTGTAGTCTGTAGTTTTCTTTTTTTGTTATGTCTTTCACTGGTTTTGGTATTAGGGTGACAGTGGCTCCACAGAATGATTTACAAAGGATTCCCTCTTTATCCTTTGGAATAGTGTCAATAGGATTGGTATTAATTCTTCTTTGAATGTCTGATAGAATTCAGCTGTGAATCTGTCTGGTCCTGGACTTTTTTTTGGCAATTTTTTTCATTACAATTTCAGTCATGCTGCTTGTTACTGGTCTGATCAGAGATTCTATATCTTCCTTTTTTAATCCAGGAGGGTTGTATAGTTCCAGGAATTTGGTTATCTCTTCCAGGTTTTTTAGTTTATCTGCACAAAGGTGTTCATAGTAGCCTTGATTAATCATTTGTATTTCTATGGAATCAATTGTAATATCTCCCTTTTCATTTCTAATTGTGTTTATTTGCATCTTCTCTATTCTTTTTTGGTTAATCTTGCTAATGGTCTATCAACTTTATTCGTCTTTTTAAAGAACTAGCTTTTTGTTTCATTTATCTTTTGTATTTTTTTTGTTTCAATTTCATTTAGTTCTGCTCTGATCTTCATTATTTCTTTTCTTCTTCTGGGTTTGGGTTTGGATTGTTCTTGTTTCTCCTGTTCTGTGAGGTGCGACCTAAGATTATCTCTTTGTGCTGTCTCAGACTTTTTGATGTAGGCATCTAATGGAATGAACTTTCCTCTTAGCACTGCTTTTGCTGTATCCCAGAAGTTTTGCTAGGTTTTGTCACTATTATCATCCAGTTCAAAGAATTTTTAAATTTCCCTCTTGATTGCAATGTTGTCCCAATAATCATCCAGGAGCAGGTTATTTAATTTCCATGTATTTGCAAGGTTTTGAGGGTTCCTTTTGGAGTTGATTTTCAATTTTATTCTACTGTGGTCTGAGACAGTACTTGATATAATTTTGATTTTCTTAAATTCACTGAGACTTGTTTTTTGGCCTATCATATGGTCTATCTTGGAGAATGTTCTGTGTACTGATGAATAGAATATATACTCTGCAGTTGCTTAGTAGAATGTTCTGTAAATATCTGTTAATCCCATTTCTTGTAGCATATAGTTTAAGTGCATTGTTTCTTTTTTTACTTTCTGTCTTAAAGACCTGTCTAGTGCTCTCAGTGGAGTATTGAAGTCCCCCACTATTATTGCATTGTCATCTATCTCCTTTCTTAGGTCTAGTAGTAATTGTTTTATAAATTTGAGAGTTCCACTGTTATGTGCAAATATATTTTGGATTGTAATATTTTCCTGTTAGACTAGCCCTTTTATCATTACAAAATGTCCCTCTTTGTCTTTTTTTAACTGCTCTTGCTTTAAAGTTTGTTTTTTTCTAATATAAGAATATCTATTCCTGCTTGCTTTTGGTGTCAATTTGCATGGAATATGTTCTTTCACCCCTTTAACTTAAGTTTATGTGAGTCCTTATGTGTTTGGTGAGTTTCCTGAAGATGCACAAACTTGGTTGGTGAATTCTTATCCATTCTGCCATTCTGTATTTTTTAAGTGGAACATTTAGGCCACTAACATCAATGTCGGAATTGAGATGTGAGGTACTATTCTATACATCGTGCTATTTGTTACCTGAATATCTGAAGTTTTTTTGTTTGTTTTCATTATGTTATTGTTATATAGGTCCTGTAATATTTATGCTTTAAGGAGGCTCTATTTGGTGTATTCCAAGAATTTGTTTCAAGGTTTAGAGCTCCTTTCAGCAGTTCTTGTTGTGCAGGCTTGATAGTGTTGAATTCTCTCAGCATTTGTTTGTCTGAAAAAGATGGTGCCTTTCCTTCATTTCTGAAGCATAGCTTCGCTGGATACAAAATTCTTAGCTAATAATTATTTTATTTAAGGAGGCTGATGATAGGGCGCCAATCCCTTCTAGCTTGTAGGGCTTCTGCTAATAAATCTGCTAATAAATCTGCTATCAATGTGATAGGTTTTTCTTTACAGGTTACCTGATGCTTTTCTCTCACGGCTGACATTTTTTCCTTTGCCTTGACTTTAGATAACTTGTTATGTACCTAGGGAATGATCTTTTTGTCATGAATTTCCCAGGTGTTCTTTGAGCTTCTTGAGTTTGGATGTTTAGATCCAGCAAGGCTGGTAGTAATTTTCCTCTATTATTCCTTCAAATATATTTTCCAGACTTTTAGATTTCTCTTCTTCCTCAAGAACACCAATTATTCTTAGGTCCGGACATTTGACATAGTATCAAACTTCTTGGAGGCTTTGTTTTTAGGTTTTTTTTCTTGTCTTGAATGAACTGGGTTAATTTGAAAGCCTTGTCTTCAAGCTCCGAGGTTCTTTCTTCTGCTCGTTGGATTTTATTGGTGAGAATTTCCAGTGCATTTCACATTTCTCTAAGTGTGTCCTTGATTTTTAGAAGTTGTGAGTGTTTTTATTTATGCTGTTTATTTCACTGAAGAATTTTTCTTTTATTTTCTGTATCATGATTTTTATTTCTTTACATTAGACTTCACTTTTCTTTGGTGCCTCTTTGATTAGCTTAATAATTGGCAATACTTTTTCTGGCAATTCAGAGATTTCCTCTTCGTTTGGATCCATTGGTGGTGAACTGGTGTGATCTTTTGGGGGTATTACAGAACCTTGTTTTATCATATTACAGAATTTTTTTTTCTGGTTCCTTCTTATTTGGGTAGACTATGTCAGAGGGAAGACCTGGGATTCAAGTTCTGCTGTTCAGTGTCTTTTGTCCCACTGAGTGCTCCCTCGATGTGGTGTTCTCATTCCCCTAGGAATGAGGCTTCCTGAGAGCCAAACTGTAGTGGCTGTCTAGCCACACAGTGGAGCTACCAGGTTCCATACTGGTACTTGGGAGTGTCTGCAAAGATCCTGTAATATGATCTGTCTTCAGGTCTTGCAGCCATGGATACCAGTTCCTGCTCCAGTCGATGTAGCAGGGGAGTGAAAGGAACTCTGCTAGGGTCTTTGGTTGTGTTTTTGTTTATTGTGCTGCTTGTTTTGTTGGCCTTCAGCCAGGAGGTAGTGCTTTCCAGAGTGCATCAGCGGCCCTTAGGGAGGATGCAAACTTGCCCTAGGGACACCTGGTCAAGTATTCAGGTTTCTCAGGTGATGGGTGAGGCCATAGAGGTAACAAGAGATTATGACGTTTGTCTTCAGCTACCAAGGTGGATAGAGAAAGACCACCAGGTCAGGGTAGGGATGGCTGTGTCTGAGTTCAGCCTCTTCTTGGGTGGGGCTTGCTGCTGCTGCTGCTGTGGCAGATGGGGGTGTGGTTTCCAGTCCATTGGAGTTATATTCCTAGGGAGATTATGGCTGCCTCTGCTGCAACACATAGGTCACCAGAAAAGTGGGAGAAAGCCGGCAGTCACCAGCTTCACTCAGCATCCACACAGCCCACAGTCCTAAAGGCCAGTCGTGCTCCCACCGTGCCCACACAACAGCACCAAGTCTATTTCCAGGCAGCTGGTGACCAGGGCTGAGAATTTGCCCCAGACCATGAGCCTCTCTGTTGAGAAAGCAAACAGACTCACAGGTTTTCATTGTCTCAGGGAGCCTGCAGTGGTGATCCAGTTCCTTCAAAGGATCTGTGGATTCTCTCAGCTTTCCTGGTATGTTACTGCAGTAGTTCTTGGCACAAAATTTCACAATGTGAGTTTCCATACGGTATTCTGTGTCAGGCCTCTGAGCCCAAGTTAAGCCATCATATCCCTTGTGACCTGCACGTATACATCCAGATGGCCTGAAGCAACTGAAGATCCACAAAAGAAGTGAAAATAGCCTTAACTGATGACATTCCACCATTGTGATTTGTTTCTGCCCCACCCTAACTGATCAGTGTACTTTGTAATGTCCCCCACCCTTAAGAAGGTTCTTTGTAATCTCCCCCACCCTTAAGAAGGTTCTTTGTAATCTCCCCAACTCTTAAGAAGGTTCTTTGTAATTCTCCCCACCCTTGAGAGTGTACTTTGTGAGATCCACCACCTGCCCCCAAAACATTGCTCCTAACTCCACTGCCTATCCCAAAACCTGTAAGAACTAATGATAATCCCACCACACTTTGCTGATTCTCTTTTCGGACTCAGCCCACCTGCACCCAGGTGAAATAAACAGCCTTGTTGCTCACACAAAGCCTGTTTGGTGGTCTCTTCACATGGACACTTGAGACACTCTGTCCATCTGAGTGGGAGCTGCAAGCTAGTCCTGCCTCCTATCCACCATCTTAATCCTAGTCAGGACATTAAAGTTTTCTGTTTATTCAGTATCATAAATGTTGAAGTATGCACCAAGGTAGCAAACAAATCTTCTTTTCCCAGGGTATAAACTCAAAATTTTATTGAGACTCTTGAAACTCACTTTGGAGTAAAAGTTAATACACTGGACTTTTACATTTTTAGTCTGTATTTTATAGTCATTTTTATTTTGGGGGGACTCTTGGAGATGCTGCTGTGACTTCAACCCAGGTGACATCTTAACATTTGATCTCTAATTACTTCCATCACAAAAAGTTAACTTTTATTATGGGATCCCAGATCCAAATTTCTTTCAAGTTGTTAAAATTCATCTAAGCTTCACACACTGATCCAACAGAGAAATTGTTTCATTATTTAAATTCTCAGTGGATAGATAATTTACATGTGCCCCTAAACTGCACAATGATACTTAAACATTTTATTAATAATTACAGGACTTATATTGAAATTTAGAATATAAGTAAATGTTTCTGAATTTTCAAATGTAAGTATATTTTTACATAATAGTAATTTTTTTTTTTTTTTAATTACAGAGTCTCGCTCTGGGGCCCAGGCTGGAGTGCGGTGGTGCGATCTTGGCTCACTGCAACCTCCTCCTTCCGGGTTCAAGCAATTCTCCCTGCCTCAGCCTCCCAAGTAGCTGAGACTACAGGGGCCTGCTAATCTCTCAGGGCCCATGCGAAATCTATCTCAATCAAAAGTGCATTATTCTTAGAAGCAGATATTACAAAATTTAATTTCCTAATTTGGCCAAGTGGCATGGGCTGAGCTAATTTTTGTATTTTTCAGTAGAGATGGGGTTTTGCCATAAAATAAAATTGTAATAACTCTATTGCTGTCACATTCCCTATAAGGAAAATCATTTAATCTTAGTTGCACAGGCTTTATTTATATTATTGATTCACAAGAGAATCAAATTTTTCTAAAATTGGTCAATTGTTTTAGCATTTCTGCTCTTTGAATAGGATTAGAGTTTATGGAACAATGTAAAATCCTATAATATATTTCCAGTCTTTGAAGTCCTTTTAAAGAAAATCATGTCCAGCATATAGATTAAGTGGTCAAATAGATATTTCCACAGTGGCTCAAAGTAATACATAAAGAGAATAACATTTAGACTTTATTACATGACTACAGTACATGTGCCTTACCTTGAAATAAATAGTGAAACTGTACATGAAACAAGAAGTATACTAATAGCCATCAAATATTTTAAATATTAATTCATAATGCTATACATTAATGACTCTAGAATATGCATCACAACCATTTATATATTAGGTAGAAAGAAAGAAAGAAAATATTCAATAATCCTTATCTTTTTAACAATTAAGCAAAATGCATAATTAATTATAGTTATCTTAAATCACTTGGCCAAATAAGGAAAATAAATTTTGTAAAACCTGCTTCTAAATATAATGTACTTTTTATTAAGATAGATTCATTTATATCCACAGATCTATGGTTATACTGAAGTATAGATAATTTAATTCAGGCCAAAAACTGATTTTTAAAAACTCATATGGTTTCTAAATTATCCAAATTATTTTCTAACTTAGTTTTTTTTTCTTTTTCTTGGTCTGGTATTAAAGAAGCATTTTCCAAAAGTTATTGTTTTATAATTTTAAACATAATTTTTTTCTAAGTTAATTGAAATTACTGATAAGGAAAATGAATAAAGACACTATTTAAATTTATGCTGGCTATGAAAAACAGAAACCAGGCTCCTGTCTTTGTTTCCAGTCTCACCTACTTTCAGCAGACAGGACAATATTTATTCTACAGAGTGTTGTTTTACAACATCCTATGTGAACTCATTTCTCTTTTGAACTCACTGTTACTAATAATTTAACATGTTTTTACATCATTTTGTTTTATTCATATTATAAAGGATTATATATCTGTTGTGGGTGTGAATTATCTAGTATACATTTTGATATTTCTAAAACCACTAAGAACAATAAAAACTTGTTCAATAAATTATTGATTCTTAAAGTAATTACCATCACTCTGATTACAGTGAAGGGTAAGCTCCCTTTGCAGTTCCTTCTTTCTTTCTCAATATCTCTGTTTCTTTGGTGTTGACTAAAATGGTTAGAATTGCTTGGTACTAAACCATCAGAGTCTGTTTCTAAATCTAGAGGCTGTATCTCTTTATGTTCAGAAAATTTTCTCTTAATATCACCTATAAACAATACTAATCTCCATTTTCCCTTACATCTTCAGCCCCTGCTCCTGTCTCATCCTACACACCGAACTCCTACTTCCATCAGTCCTGCTGATTACAAATGCAATTTTATTAGTGGACATTCAAGATTACCTGCAAATATTATTGTTTACACCCTAATCATGATAATGTGTAATATTTTTTCTTCAGTTAGCAGTATATATATATATATATATATATATGTATATATATATATGTATATATATATATGTATATATATATATGTATATATATATATGTATATATATATATGTATATATATATTTATATATATATATGTATATATATATATTTATATATATACACACACACACATTTACACACACACACACATATATATATTTGATGATTTAATTAGGCCATTTATATTTATATCAATTTAAATCACAAACAAAATAATGGAAGTAAAATATATAAGAAGGTAAAACCTCAACATTTGTTTATTTTGAGGAATATAGGTATGATATTAATTCAACCATAGCTCAATTAACACACATATCTTTGTATCAGCCTTATATTATTTTTATGCTTTTTAAACTTGTACTATAGACTCCTACCCGCAGGCTCTACTACATGTACCATATGCACACACACATACATACATAAAGCATCCATTATTTGGGGTTACATAGCTGACATTTTAGTTCTAAAATCTTACTGGTATACCTGGCCATATAATAGTTCCTTGGAGATGGGATTAGAACAAGTTCCTATGGCAGTTTGGGTTCACTCAGGAGACAGGAACTACACAGGGATTTTAAAAAGGAGACATTTAATATATAGAATTATTAGCTATAATAAAGTGTAACTATAATGTATATTATTTTAAAACTCAGTATAAAATTAGGAATTTCTTGACTTAGGGCAAGGGAGAGTACCCAAGAAGGACAAAGTTGGAAAAGGTGCACAGCTCGGTGGAGAAAGGATGGTTCAAAGCAGTAAAGTTTGCTGGTTTAGCCGGCGCAAAGCTGGTATAGAGCTGCTAGGAAAGAAGTAGGAAACTGTCCAGAGAGCAGGCCAGGGAGCAGGTACGCAACAAACAGTGACCTGAGCATAGAGTTAAGTCTAGGTGCCAATGGAGGTAGAAGGACTTCGGAATACAGATGCTAAATAGAATGACAGCAGTGAACACAGAAGGAACTACTGCTCATCAAGTGATCTTCTGGGTAACAGCCTCATGCACGTTACACAGGGCTTTGTTTCTGTGGCAACAGGACTGCAGAAAGGATATGGCCAGGCTGACGTAGACAGTGTTCTAGGTTTCTTCCTGAGGAAGGATATACTAGATGGATTAAAGTCTTCAATGTAAAACCGAAAACCATAAAACCCTAGAAGAAAACCTAGGCAATACCATTCAGGACATAGGCATGGGCAAAGAATTTGTGACTAAAACACCAAAAGCAATGGCAACAAAAGCCAACATTGACAAATGGGATCTAATTAAACTGAAGAGCTTCTGCACAGCAAAAGAAACCATCATCAGAGTGAACAGGCAACCTACGGAATGGGAGAACGTTTTTGCAATCTATCCATCTGACAAAGAGCTAATATCCAGAATCTACAAGGAATTTAAACAAATTTACAAGAAAAAAAATCAAAAAGTGGGCAAAGGATATGAACAGACACTTCTCAAAAGAAAACATTTATGTGGCCAAGAAACATATTTAAAAAAGCTCATTGTCACTGGTCGTTAGAGAAATACAAATCAAAACCACAAAGGGATACCATCTCATGCCAGTTAGAATAAGGATCATTAAAAAGTCAGGAAACAACAGATGCTGGAGAGGATGTGGAGAAATAGGAATGCTTTTCCACTGTTGCTGGGAGTGTAAATTAGTTCAACTATTGTGGAAGACAATGTGACAATTCTTTAAGCATCTAGAACCGGAAATACCATTTGACCCAGCAATCCCATTACTGGGTATAGACTCAAAAAATTATAAATCATTCTGGTATAAAGTCACATGCACATGTATGTTTATTGTGGCACTGTTCACAATAGCAAAGACTTGGAACCAACCCAAAAGCCCATCAATGATAGACTGGATTAAGAAAATGTAGCACCTATACACCATGGAGTACTATGCAGCCATAAAAAAGGATGAGTTCATGTCCTTTGCAGGGACATGGATGAAGCTGGAAACCATCATTCTCAGCAAACTAATGCAGGAACAGAAAACCAAACACCACATGTTCTGATTCATAAGTGGGAGTTGAACAATGAGAGCATACGGATACAGGGAGGGGAATATCACACACCGGGGCCTGTCGGGGGATGGGGGGCTAGGGGAGGGATAGCATTAGGAGAAATACCTAATGTAGATGACAGATTGATGCGTGCAGCAAACCACCATGGTATGTGCATACTTATGAAACAAACCTGCACATTCTGCAGATGTGTCCCAGAACTTAAAGTATAATAAAAATAAATAAATAAATAAAAGAGAAATAACAGAATGATTAGTATATGCAAATGAACACCTGAAAGTAACAAGCACAGAGAAAATATGAAATGCCACCACAGTTCTTATTTCTGTAACTGGACATGAGTTCATATTTTACATCTATGGTTTCTTTCTTCAATTTCTGTTCCATTATTCCCCTGAGCTAGCACCTCAGCTATACTCCATTCTTTACTAGGTAAATTGACCCAAACCTTTATTTTGAAACATTCTGCAATTTCAGTCACCCTGCAATTTTTTTTTTTTATTTCTGTGATTTTACATTGATTTTATTATCGGACATAAAAATACTAAAAGTTACCCTAGGGAATTACCTGGGCTCAACATAAAGAATTTCTTCCTTTAATTGTATAGCAGCAACTAAAATTTTGCCTAGGTAAGCAGAAACAATCACTCCACTTCATAAATGAAGCTCTCTTTTTTTTTATTGGTTTAGTGGCATAAGGAGCATTAAATGGTTGAATGTCAGTTTCATCTTCTAATTCAGGGCTACTATAGCTGCATTCACAATGGAATAACTTTCCCCTTATGGAACCAAACCTTCAAACCAACAGAGGTCAACATTTCTAGGACAGAAAGTAAATATTCTGCAAATGGGTAATTAAATGTAATGTTGAGAGTAGCCACGCCGTTTCTATTACTTCATTCTCAGACTCATGGATTCTGGCCAGGAAGGAGGCAGAATTCTATAAGCAAAAGCTATACCCTGTAAAGCAGAACCCCATCTGATCAAGGGGTTGTTTCCTGAGTGGTGCCGCAATTAAATTTTTGTAATCAACTCCACCCTTCCATTAGGCCAACTTCCTCTAAGCAATGAGGTATGTGGTAAGACAAGTTGATTCCATGACCATAATCCCATTGTTGCACTTCCTATGCTGTGAAATATTTCCCTTCATCTAAGTCAGTTCTCCATAGAATACCATGATAGTGGATTAGACATTCTGTGAATCCACAATAGTGGTGCTGGCAGAGCATTATCATCAAGGAAGGCAAACACGTATCCAAAATATGGGTTTATTCCAGTGAGGACAAATATTTGTTTCCTCTACTGTGGTGTGGGTCTAATGGTGGCAGTCTGTTATCCAGGGTAATAATATGATGTAAGGAACTCAGTGTTGTTCTCTGCTTTTTGCAGAATAAGCACTCAGTAATAGGAGTAAGCAGGTTATTTCGATAAGGGAAAGTTTAGAATGTTGAGCTCAGGCATAGCCTTCATCCATGCCACTGTGGTCATTTTGTTCAGGGACGATTAACCAGAAAAAGAAGCTGACTAAGTTTTATACAGTGCATAATTTCATTCAATGGTGGATAAGAGTTTCCTCTGGGACAGATGCTTTTGGACTGTATAAAACACAGATATCTTCACAATCCATGCCAATTATGAGAGGTTTACCCACATACTTCCTCATCAAACTTCCTTGCCACCAATCTTCTGATTTTTTTCCTTCCAGGTTCTTGACTGTCAGCAAAATCATTCACCACTGATGTGTAGAGCAGTTGTGCTGCAGCCTGATTCTTCAGCAGAGACTTTCCTTGCTCTAGTCTCCACTCAAAACAGACAGCCTTACAGTGACTCTGTAGATGGGTCAATGTAAAACACTCAAATATGGTCTATGCTGCTTCCAAAATCCAAAATATTTGCCTATGTCTTTATGGTAGGTCCTGGTAGGTAAATCAACTTGTTTTCTACCTTGGAGGGAATATCTCCTTATGTTTTAGATCACTGTAACCTTCACTGAGATGGTGAATTCTTTAAATTGTCTGGGGCTATTTTCTAGCCTTTTACTTCAATATACCTTATTAAAGCATTTAAAGTCCTTGCTACTTTCTACTAAATAGAACCAATCAGCATAAGTTCATCAATATAGTAAACCAATGTGATGATCTTTGGAATATCAAGGAAATAAAGATTTCAGCAGACAATATTATGGCAAACAGTAGAGAAATTTGTGTAGCCCTGATATAACATATATATTGCTGGCCCCAACAGGTAAAAGCAAACTCCCTGTTGTGGTAGTTATATATTGTTATAGAGAAAACAGAAAACAAGTTAATGGCCACATACCAAGTAGCAGGAGTTGTTATAATTGACTGCAGAAAAGACAGAATATTTGAGACAGCAGGTTTTATTGGATTTACCCTCTGGTTAAGTTGATGATAGCCCACAGTCATATTCTAATATCCATCTGACTTCTGCACAGGCTGCAATGATGAACTCAATGAGATGTGATTGTTATCACTGCTTCACCTGTTTTTATGTCTTTGAAAGTAGCATTAATCTCTGCAACTCCCCTAGGGAGACACATTGCTTCTAGTTTACTGTCTTGGCAGAAAGGTGAAGTTCCAGGTGGTTTCATTTTGCCTTTTGCATTATAATATCCCTCATCCCATGGGTCAAATTCTCAACTTCAGGATTCTACCAGTATGATATTTACTAAATATGCTTATCCCAATTATACATTCAGGAACTGGGGAAATAGCAACAGGGTGGTTCTGTGGACCAACAAGTCTCACCGTGAATCAGACGTGAGATACAACTCCATGTATCCCCTGACCATCATAAGTCTCTACTTTGACTGGTCAACCACAATGATGTTTTGACATACCAGAAATTAGCATCATTCAGAGCTGGCGTTTAGTAATCCTTCAAAATTGTGGCTACTTTCTTCCCCTAATGTATGGTTACTCTAGTAAATGGCCTCAGGCCATGTTGGGAAAAGCTCAAAGACAGTAACTTACCCATATCAACTCATCTATACCCATCTAGTGTTATATTTTTCTCTATTTGGTTTGCCATCCTGAGAGTTTATTCACACACACGTTGCCTAGCTACCTGCTTCACACAATATTGCAATGATTTTAGTGCATTAACTACTTTCTCTTAGATCATAGTGTGAGCTTATCTCTTGGAACATGTTGAAATTTGACTCTAGTTATGTGTCTAGTGTCAACAAGGGGTGATTGTGTTAGGCCCTAAGGATGATGATAGTTTACCTTCAATGGCCTTCCCAACAGGTATTGCATGTTTTCCAACTAAGGAAGGCTACTCAGATATCAGAGGGCAAGCTGCTTTCACTGGAAAAGGAGTGTCTTTGTCCAGCTGGGCTGCTGGATAACAAAATACCATAAACTGGGTAGCTTATAAACAACAGAAATGTAAACCTTGCAGTTCTGGAGGAAGGTGCTGGCAGATTTGGTGTCTTTTGAGGGTGTGCTTCCTAGTTCACACTCAGAGCCTTCTTGCTCTATCTTCACATGGTAGAAGAGACAGCTAGTTCTCTTGTGTCTCTTTTATACATGTGCAAATGCCAATCATGAGTTCTCCTCGTTCATGATCTAATCAACTCCTCCCAAATACACATCCTATTACCGTCATCTTGGGGGTTAGAATTTTGACAAGAATTTTGTGAGGACACAGGCATTCAGACTATAGCAGGTGGATTAAAATGACTTGGGATTTCAGGATTGTCAGTTATACCTTAGTATAACCAAATGTCTCTATTCAATTTTTAGGCTGTGAATCTGTCTGATCTTGGGCTTCTTTTGGTTGTTAGGCTATTAATTATTGCTGCAATTTCAGAAAATGTTATTGGTCTATTCAAGGATTTGACCTCTTCCTGGTTTATTCTGGGGGGTGTTCCTGTGTCCAGGAATGTATCCATTTCTTCTAGATTTTCTAGTTTATTTGCATAGAGGTGTTTACAGTATTCTCTGATGGTAGTGTGTATTTCTGTGGGATCAGTGGTGATATCTCTTTTACTACTTTTTATTGTGTCTATTTGACTCTTCTCTCTTTTCTTCTTTATTAGTTTGGCTAGTGGTCTATCTATTTTGTTAATCTTTTCAAAAAACCAGTTCCTAGAGTCATTGATTCTTTTGAAGGATTTTTTGTCTCTATCTCCTTCAGTTCTGCTCTGATCTATTTCTTGTCTTCTGCTAGCTTTTGTATTAGTTTGCTCTTGCTTCTCTAGTTTTTTTTTTTAATTTTGATGTTTGTGTGTTGATTGTAAATCTTTCTTGATTTCTGATGTGGGCATTTAGTGCTATAAATTTCCCTCTAAACACTGCTTTAGCTATGTTCCAGAGGTTCTGGTACATTGTCTCTCTGTTCTCATTGGTTTCAAAAAGCTTCTTTATTTCTGCCTTAATTTCATTGTTTACCCAGTAGTCATTCAGGAGCAGGTTGTTCAGTTTTCATGCAGCAGTGTGGTTTTGAGTGAGTTTCCTAATCTTGAATTCTAATTTGATTGCACTGTTGTCTGAGAGCCTGTTTGTTACAATTTTCATTCTTTTTGCATTTGATGAGGAGTGTTTTACTTCCAGTTACATAGTCGATTTTAGAATAAGTGTTATGTGGCACTGAGAAGAATGTATATTCTGTTGATTTGGGGTTGAGAGTTCTGTAGATGTCTGTCAGGTCTACTTGGTCCAGAGCTGAGTTCAAATCCTGAATATCCTTGTTAATTTTCTGTCTTGTGGATCTGTCTAATATTGACAGTAGGGTGTTAAAGTCTCCCACTATTATTGTCTGGGAGTCTAAGTCTCTTTGTAGGTATCTAAGAACTTGCTTTATCAATCTGGGTGCTCCTGTATTGCATGCATTTATATTTAGAATATTAGCTCTTCTTATTGCATCGATCCCTTTACCATTATGTAATGCCCTCCTTTGTCTTTTTTGAACTTCGCGGGTTTAAAGTCTTTTTTTATCAGAGACTAGGATTGCAACCCCTGCTTTTTATGCTTTCCATTTGCTTGGTAAATATTCCTCCATCCCTTTATTTTGAGCCCATGTGTGTCTTTGCATGTGAGATGGGTCTCCTGAATACAGCACACTGATGGTTCTTGACTCTTTAACCAGTTTGCTCATCTGTTTCTTTTAATTGGGGCATTTTCATTTTTTCCCACTTAACTTGCACACAAAAAACATGTGGCTAGAATGAATTTAATTGTTGTTGTATCTTTGCAATTTACAAAATTAAATTTTATGTTTTGTTTCAGGCAACATTGTAAATAGATACTTCTGGTGCTAACATGGAAGCTGTCTGATTTTCCAGTCATGAACTGAAGTGCAAGTTAATGGAGCTGAGCTTGTCATTTTCCCTCTAGACATACATATGCAAACTTAAAAGAATCCAATACACATAACTGTCCTTACAGTCATTATTACTGCCCTCAGGGTCAGGTCCAGTAGCCATCTAAGTGTCCAATGCAAGTGCTCCATTGGCATTTTATTACAATAAACCATGAGTGATATCTTGATTAATTGTGATGCCACTGCACGCCATGAATTACTAGTATCCCATTTCCCATTGAAAAGGAGCTAACCATCATGCTTAATCCTGAAGCCATGACCAAAACAATCTCTAAACTGCATCTTTCTGGACAAGCAATATGAAATTCTCACACCAGTTAGAATGGCAATCATTAAAAAGTCAGGAAACAACAGGTGCTGGAGAGGATGTGGAGAAATAGGAACACTTTTACACTGTTGGTGGGACTGTAAACTAGTTCAACCATTGTGGAAGTCAGTGTGGCGATTCCTCAGGGATCTAGAACTAGAAATACCATTTGACCCAGCCATCCCATTACTGGGTATATACCCAAATGACTATAAATCATGCTGCTATAAAGACACATGCACACGTATGTTTATTGCGGCATTATTCACAATAGCAAAGACTTGGAACCAACCCAAATGTCCAACAATGATAGACTGGATTAAGAAAATGTGGCACATATACACCATGGAATACTATGCAGCCATAAAAAATGATGAGTTCATGTCCTTTGTAGGGACATGGATGAAATTGGAAACCATCATTCTCAGTAAACTATCGCAAGAACAAAAAACCAAACACCGCATATTCTCACTCATAGGTGGGAATTGAACAATGAGATCACATGGACACAGGAAGGGGAATATCACACTCTGGGGACTGTGGTGGGGTCGGGGGAGGGGGGAGGGATAGCATTGGGAGATATACCTAATGCTAGATGACACGTTAGTGGGTGCAGCGCACCAGCATGGCACATGTATACATATGTAACTAACCTGCACAATGTGCACATGTACCCTAAAACTTAAAGTATAATAATAATAATAAAAAAAGAAAAAAAAAAAAAAAAAGAAATTCTCAGGAGGGCAAGTAATCAGCAACCCATAGCCTGTGTATGCAATTAGAGACCTTCAGAGGACACAAACCACACAGTCAAAGGTGGGAGGCTGGGGCCTTGCTGAAGAAACACTGATTGGCCTGAACCTTTGGGCCATAGGCAGCTGCATACAATGCACACCAGGATTTGCCACGAGAGTCTGGGCAGGTGGCTGCATACAGAAAATATGGGGATTTGACAAGAGAGTTCACTTCCTACAGGTGCCAGCATGAAGAAGGTGTGCAGCCTTGCAGAGGGAGTCTGGATAGACAGCTGTGCCTGGGCCACATAGAGCTCTGTCCTCCATGTTCAGAGGACTGCAGAAGTCTTAACCCTAAACCCAGATTACAAGATTGTTCAGTGACTGCATTCTGTGCCTGAAGCTAGAGCAGGATCTGCAGAATATTCTCATATTCACAACACAAAAGTCCCTGGGCTACACAGAAACACCCAGTCTCTTCCTCCTGCAAGGAACCATAAGTGCCCTATACTGAGAAAACTTAATATTATACTCATTTTAAAGCAATTTTAATGAAATTCCATATTACAGAGTTTATTTTGAAAGGGGCATGAAGAGCAGAAATGAAATACATTGACAATTGATGAAGGTGACTCAGAAAGAAAGATTTGTTCAAAAATTTGACATGCTAAGCTTCAGAGTATCCTTCAAATTCTATCTGTGGCCCCAGACACAGTACACAATCATTCCCATAGGAAAAAAACTTTAAAAGTTTACAAAGTTTGACATGTCATAACGGATGTGTTATGATTTTCTCTGTCTATAAAAAAAAAGAAATCAGAGCTTCACTAAATTATGTGGTACTCAAATTCAGAGTCAAGGAAACAATTTGACACATGTTGGTGGAACAGCTAGAGGCATAGGCAAAGTAAAACTAAACAATTAGAAGCCAAGGGAATGGAGATGTAACATGCAAACTCACACACATAACATAAGATTGCAGGAAAAACTGTAAATATAAGCTTGGATAAGGTGAACCATTAGAAGATAAAGCTGCCAAAGGCTGACTTTTAAGATGTAGTTACGTAAGTTTAAAATAAAGTCCCATAAAATTACAGAGAAACATTTTAGTTGGGCAAATGTTAATAAGAAATTCAGTCCAGCTATTTTAATAAAACATAAAATGCAATGTAAAATGAAATAAAATTATCAATGATAGATATTTCATAATGAAAAAGTAGTAACAATTAAAGAAAGGACCCAACTATAAACTTGTAAGAACTAAGAAGTTTATTTTCAACATGAAATCCTCAAATTGTTAGAAATGGAAGGAAATATTGGTACTTCCACATTATGTTTTTAACTTTTATTTTAGGTCGGGGTACATGCGCAGCTTTTTATATCGGTAAATTTTGTGTTATGGGAGTTTGATGTACAGGTTATTTCATCACCCAGTTAATACATATATTACCTGAAAGGACGTTATTTGACCCTCAACCTCCCTCCTAGCTTCCACACTCATTTGTGTCCACATGTATTCTATGTTTAGCTCCCACATATAAGTGAGAACATGCAATATTTGGTTTTCAGTTCCTCTGTTAGTTCACTTAGGATAATGGCATCCAGCTCCTTCCATGTTGCTGCAAAGGATATGATCTCATTCTTTTTTATGGTTGTGTAGTATTATATGGTATATATGTACCAAATTTTCTTTATGCAGTCTACCATTGATGAGTATCTAAGTTTATTCAATATCTTTGTTATTGTGAATAGTGCTGCAATGAACATACATGTGCAGGTGACTTTATGGCCAAATGAGTTATATTCCTTTGAGTACATACACAGTAACGGGATTGCTGGGTCAAATGGTAGTTCTGTTTTAAGTTGTTTGAGAAATCACCAAACTCCTTTCCACAATGGCTGAACTAATTTACATTCCCACCAGCAGTGTGTAAGTACTCCCTTTTCTCTACAATCTCACCAGCATGTGTTATGTATAGACTTTTTAATAATAGTTGTTTTGACTGGTGTGAGATGATATCTCTTTGTGGTTTTTATTTGCATTTCTGTAATGATTATTGATGTTGAGCATGTTTTCATATGCTTGTTGGCAACACTTATGTCTTCTTTCGTAAAATGTCTATTTTTATCCTTTGCCAACTTTTAATGGAGTTGTTTTTTGCTTGTTAATTTGTTTGTTATAATACTTATAAATACTGTATATTAGACTTTGTTGAATGCATAGTTTTCAAATGTTTTCTTCCTTTCTGTAGTTTGTCTATTAACTCCGTTAATAGTTTCTTTTGCTGTCCAGAAGGTCTTTAGTTTAATGGAGTCCCATTTGTCAATTTTTGATTATGTACAATTGCTTTTGGTATGTTCCTCAGGAAATATTTGCCAGGGCTTCTGTCCAAAATGGTATTTCCTAGGATATTTTTCAGAGTACTAATCATTTTAGGTTCTACATTTAAGTCTTTAATCCGCCTTGAGTTTATTTGTGTATAATGGTGCAAAAAGGGTCCAGTATCAGTCTTCTGCATATGGCTAGCCAGCTATGCCAGCACCACTTATTGAATAGGGTGTCCTTTCCTGATTGCTTGTTTCTGTTGACTTTTTTGAAGATCAGATGGTTGTAGGTGCAACTTTATTTCTGGGCTCTATATACTGTTCCATTGATCTATACGTCTTTTTTTTTTTTTTTTTGGTAGCAGTTATTATGCTATTTTGGTTACTGTAGCCTTGTAGTATAGTTTAAAATCAGGTGATGTGATACCTCCAGATTTTCTCATTTTGCTTAAGGTTACTATTGCTATTTGAGCTTTTTGGTTCCATATAAATTTTAGAATTTTTTTTTTTTTTTCAGATTTTCACTCTTGTCACCCAGGCTGGAGTGCAATGGCACAATCTTGGCTCACTGCAATCTCTATCTCCAGGGTTCAAGAGATTTTCCTGCCTCAGCCTCCTGAGTAGCTGAGATTACAGGTGCACACCACCACACCTGGCTAATTTGTTTTTAGTTTTTAGTAGAGATGGGGTTTTGCCATGTTGTCTGGGCTGGTCTCCAACTCCTGACCTCAGGTGATCTGCCCACCTTGGCCTCCCAAAATCCTGGGATTACAGGCGTGAGCCACTGCACCTGGCACAATGTTTTTTTCTAATTCTGTGAAGAATGTCATCAGTAGTTTAATAGGAATAGCATTAAATCTGTAAATTACTTTGAGCAGTATGACCATTTAAACTATATTGATTCTTCCTATTCATAAGCATGGAATGTTTTTCCATTTGTTTATATCATCTCTGATTTCTTTCAGCAGTGTCGTAATTTTTGTTGTAGATTTCTTTTACCTCTCTGGCTAGCTGTATTTTATTCTTTTTGTGGCTATTGTGAATGGAACTGTACTCATGATTTGGCTCTTAGCTGGGGCATTATTGGTTTATAGAAATGCTGCTAATGTATGTACATTGATTTTGTACCCTGAAACATTGTTGAAGTTGTTTATGGGAACAATAAACTTTTGGGGAGAGACTATGGGGTATTCTAAGTATAGAATCATATCATCTGCAAACAGAGACAACTTGGCTTCCTCTTTTCCCATTTAGATGCCTTTTATTTCTCTCTTGCCTGATTGCTGTGACTAGGAATTCTAGTTCTATGTTGAATAGCAGTGGTGATAGAGGGCATCCATGTCTTGTGCTGGTTTTCAAGGAGAATGCTTCCTGCTTTTGCCCATTCAGTATGATGTTGCCTGTGCATTTGTCATAGATGGATATTATAATTTTGAATTATGTTCCTTCAATGTCAGTTTGTTGATGATGTTTGTCATAAAGAATGTTGAATTTTATCAAAAGCCTTTTCTGCATCTATTGAAATGATTATATGCTTTCTGCTTTCAGTTCTGTTTATGTGATGAATCACATTTATTGATTTGCGTATGTTTAACCAACTGCACATTCCTGGAATAAAGCCTACTTGATTGTGGTGGATTAGCTGGATTCAGTTTGCTAGTATTTTGTTGAAGATGTTTGCATTCATTTTCATCAAGGATATCATCCTAAAGTTTTCTTTTTGTATGTGTGTCTCCCTCAGGTTTTGGTATCAGAATAATGCTGTCCTGAAACAATGAATTAGGGACCATTCCCCTCTCTTCAATATTTTGGAATAGTTTCAGTAAGAATGGTACCAGCTCTTCTTTATGCATCTGGTAGAATTTGGCTGTGAATCAAATCTGGGCATGGGACTTTTCTATTTGGTAGGCTGTTTATCACTGACTCAACTTTTGGAGCTCGGTATTGGTCTGTTCGGGGTTTCCATTTCTTCCTGGTTCAATTTTGAGAGGTCGTATGTTTTCAGGAATTTATCCATTTCTTGTAAGTTTTCTAATTTATATGCATAGAGGTGTTCATAATAGTCTCTGAGGGATTTTTGTATTTCTGTGGGGTCAGTGATATTATCCCCTTTGTGATTTCTTATTTTGTTTATTTGAATCTTCTCAAATTTTTCCTTATTAGTCTAGCTAATGGTCTATCAATCTCATTTGTTATTTCAAAAAACTAATTCATGGATTTCTTGATATTTTGTATGTTTTTTTAAAATATCAGTATCATTCAGTTCAGCACTGATTTTATTTCTTGTGTTTTGCTTGCTTTGGGATACTTTGCTCTTGTTTTTCTACTTGCTGTAGGTGTAATGTTAGGTTTTTAATTTGAGATCTCTTTAACTTTTTTGATGTGGAAGTTCAGCATTATAAAATTTATTCTTAATGCTGCTGTGTCCCAGAGATTATGGTATATTGTACCTTTGTTTTCATTACTTTCAAAGAATTTCTTGCTTTCTGCCTTAATTTCATTGCTTACCCAAAAGTCATTCAGGAGTTTAATTTCCATGTGATAGTATGTTTTGAGTGATTTTCTAAATATTAGTTTATGTTTTTATTTTTCTGTGGTCCAACAGTATGATTGGTATGACTTCAGTTTTTTGCAGTTTGGTGAGAATTATATTATGACTAATTATGTCATCAAGTTTTAAAGTATGTGGCATGTGCAGATGAGAAGAATGTATATTATGTTTCTTTGGCTGGAGAGTTGTGTAGATGTGTGTTAGGTCTATTTGGCCAAGTATTGAGTTCAGATCCCAGGTATCTTTGTTAATTTCCTGGCTTGAATACTGTCAGTGGGGAGTCAATGTCTCCCAGTATCATTGTATGTTCATCTACATCTCTTCATATGTCTCTAACTATTTGTTTTATAAATCTGTGTACTCCTGTATAGATTGTGTAATATTTAACGTAGATAGGTCCTCTTGTTGAATTAAACCCTTCATCATTATGTAATGCACTTCTTTGTGTTTTTTTATCTTTCTTGGTTTACAGACTGTTTTGTCTGAAATTGGAGTAGATGTTCCCCACTAACAGTAGTTAGAGACATATGAAGGGATGTAGATAAACATGTGCAGATGAGAATAATGTATATACTGTTTTTTTTTTGGTTACAGAGTTCCGTAGATGTGTGTTAGGTATATTAGGCCAGGGGTTGAGTACAGATCCCAGGCTCTCCTCTTTTTTTCTGTTTGTTTGGTAGACTTTTCTCCATTCCTTTATTTTGAGCCTATGGGTGCCATTAAGTGATGTTTGTCTCTTGAAGACAGCATACATTGGGTTTTACTTCTTTATCCAACTTAACACTTTGTGTCTTTAAATTGGGGCACTTAGCTTATTTACATTCAAAGTTAATATTGATATCTGCAGATTTGATCCTGTCATCACATTGTTAACTTGTTATTATGCAGACTCGATTGTGTAGTTGCTTTATAGTTTTAGTGGTCTATGTACTTGTGTGCATTTTCATGGTCTTTCATTTCCATATTTAGCAGTCCTTTAATTATTTCTTGTAAGACAGGTCTCATGGTAACAAATTTTCTTAGTGTTTGCTTGTCTGAAATGACTCTTATTTTCTTCATGTATGCAGTTTAGTTTGGCTGGATATGAAATTCTTGCTGGGAATTCCTTTTCTTTATGTATACCAAATATAGGCCCCAAACTTTTCCGGCTGATAAGGTTTTTGCCGAGAGGTCTTCTGTTAGCCTTATGGAGTTCCCTTTGTAGGTGACCCACCCCTTCTGTCTGGCTGCCTTTAACATTTTTTATTTCATTTTGAATTTGGAGAATATGATAACTATATGTCTTGAGGATGGTCATCTTGTATAGTATCATGCAGGGGTTCTCTGAATATCCTAAATTTGAATATTGGCCTCTCTAGTATGATTGGGGAAATTTATATAGATGATATTATTAAATATTTTTTCCAGTTGCTTGCTTTCTCTCCCTCTTTTTCATGAATGTCAATGATTTGTGGATTTGATCTCTTTACATAATCCTATATTTCACAGAGGTTTTGTTCACTATTTTTTATTATTTTTTCTTTATTTTTGTCAACCAGTTTTTGTGCTCTGAGATTCTTTCCTCAGCTTCATCAGTTCCGCAGTTAATACTTGAGATTGTATCATGAAATTCTGGGAGTAAGTTTTATAGCTCTATCAGATCAATTTGTTCTTTCTTAAAATTACCACTTCATCTTTTCATTCCTATATCATTGTATTGTGTTCCTTAGATTCTTTGAATTGGGTGTTGATTTTCTCCTGAATCTCAATGGTCTCCATTCCTATCCATATTTTATGTCTGTCATTTCAGCCATTTCAACATGCTTAAGAACCATAGCTAGGGTGTTAATGCAGTCATTTTGAGACAAGAAGACACTCTGGCATTTTTTAGTTGCCAGAGTTCTTATACTGTTTTTTGTTTGTTTGTTTGTTTTTCCAGTCTGGTTGGGCTCATGTTCCCTTAGTCTTTGAAGCTGCTGTCCTTTGGATGGTGTTTGTTTTTTTTTTTTTTTTTTTTTTTGCTTTGATCTTCTTTGATGTCCTTGGGAGTTTGATTGTGGTACATGGTGGGTTCAATGATATGGCTTTGTTTCTGGAAGCTTTTAGGGGCCAAGTTTCAATGGAGTACCTTTGGGCTGTGTGTTCTAACTCTGGGGGTCTGGAGCTGGACCCTAGCTTTGATCTCTGGCCTTTTGATGTTAGAAACCTACCGCACTGGAGGGGCTTAGGTGCTTCTTGTCTACTGGCACAACACTCCAATGGTGCATGCTGGCCAAAGCACTTAGTTAGGGTGGTAGCATTGGGATTAGTTCTTGCTCGCATGTATCAGCATTTTTGGTAGTGCAGTGGGAGGCATGAACATCAACTGGGGCAGGATATCAGCAGAAGCAGGGTGGCAGTGCTCCTGTACGTGCTCATGCTGGTTGTGGCAGAGTGGGGGTGAGGCTGCTGGTATTCAGACTTGCACTTGCTCTGATTGTCATGACAGAGGTGCAGTGCGGTAACTGTGCATTTTCAGAGCTAGGGAACCAGCAGGAGCAGGGCAGTGGTGTCTGTGCACTTTCACAGTGGCTTTTGTGGCAGATAAGTGGTGGTGGGCCTCTGGCAGTGGTGGGGGTTGCTAGCATCAGTGCACACAGATGTGTTAGTGGTAGGGGTGCAACAGGCTGTCTGTGCATCTGTGAATACTAGGAGGCAGGGTACACTCATGCTGGTAGAGTGGGGTGGCAGGGAGTACATGCATACCTGTGCCTGCAAGGGATGGGAGATGAATTCCCTTAGAAAGCAGTGGGCGTGTCCCAGCAAAGCAGTAGCGGAAGGCTTCAGCTGGGGGAGCTATAGGTCAGCTGGTGCATGTCTGTAGGGCCAGTCCGCAGGAGCTCTCTGACAGGAGCAGTCTGTGGCAAGGTGGTGACGATGAAAGCCCCCAGGAAGCACATATGTTGGGCATCCAAAGCTGTGCTGCAAGCAGGCATGGCCAGGCTGGGGACCCAGAAGAGGCTGGCAGATGAAGAGCCTTCAGATTAGACTGGCCCTGTCCCACAGGCAAGACCAATCTGCTCTGTCCAGTTCTGACAGTCGCCCAAAGCCTTATAGAAGAGCCTGGTGAGCCTGGGGGGATGGGCATCCCTGGCTGTGATCCACTGCAGTCACTTCAATGCCAAACTGTCTGGGCTTTACGCAGGATGGAGTCCTGCCCCTGTCATCTCTCTAAGTAGCTCTCCTTGCAGCTCAAGTATCTTTGAGAATCATAGAGTCTTGTGCTGCCAGAATTCTGGAGATCCACGTTGAAAGCTGGCTACTCTTCACCTGTTCAACTCATGCCTTCCCCAGGAGTTGCATGCAAGGCTTAAAACCTAGATGATGGCCAGGCATGGTGGCTCACACCCATAATCCCAGCACTTTGGGAGGCTGGATCACAAGGTCAGGAGATCAAGACCATCCTGGCCAACATGGTGAAATCACATCTCTACTAAAATACCAAAAAAAAAAAAAAATTAGCCAGGCATGGTGGCATGCATCTGTAGTCCCAGCTACTCGGGAGGCTGAGGCAGGGGAATCGCTTGAACCCGGGAGGCGGAGGTTGCAGTGAGCCGAGATCGTGCCACTCCACTCCAGCCTGGCAACAGAGCGAGACTCCGTCTCAAAAAAATAATAATAATAAATAAAAATAAATAAATTTTAAACAAGTCTAGATGATGGGTTGATGTGTGCAGCAAACTACCATGGCACATGTAACAAACTTGCATGTTCTGCACACGTATCCCAGAACTTAAATTAAACTTTAAAAAAAGTCATTGCTGCAGACAAATGAAAGCTTTTGAGAGTGGAGAGAAGCAAGACCAAATGTAGACTTGTTTTGAATTAGTATAGTGAATTTACTGGAAAATGCAAAGGATATATCTTAAAGATATAGGCCACATACAAGTCTTTAGTGCCCCTTTAAATTGTCAATCACATGCTTGCATACGTTTAGGCATCTAAGAGCTTATTTACATTTATATCAGCTTAAGCATTTGGTGTTTTTTTGTTTTTGTTTTTGTTTTTGTTTTTTTGACGGAGTCTCACTCTGCCACCAGGCTGGAGTACAGTGGCGCGATCTCGGCTCACTGCAACCTCCACCTCCCGAGTTCAAGCGAGTCTCCTGCCTCAGCCTCCTGAGAAGCTGGGACTATAGGCACGTGCCACCAAGCCCGGCTAATTTTTTTTTTTTTCTGTATTTTAAGTAGAGATGGTGTTTCACCGTGTTAGCCAGGATGGTCTCCATCTCCTGACCTTGTGATCCGTCTGCCTTGGACTTCCAAAGTGCTGGGATTACAGGCATGAAGCACTGCACCCGGCCCAGCTTAAGTATTTGATACAATATACTAGAAATAAGTTAAAAATGTTAACACAATTGAGAAGGCAGGTTGACAGATTTCATTTACTTTGTAATAAATATTCCCTGTTTTAATTTTAATCGCATTTTAATAATCTGTAAAGATTTAAGTTTCTCATTAACACAATTTACTTCCTAAAGAAAGGTAGGCAGCCATTTATGACTTTATAGCAAGTAAAGAATGACAGTATTGGCAAAAAGTAACTAGAGCCTTGGGGTCCACATGGATTTTGTTTCCTAGGAGAAATTCTGAAAGAAGGCATGCCATCTATAATTGATGTCAGGGGATTTAACATTTTGTGGAGGTATAGAATTTAAGGTCCATGATGCTGTAGGGTGGATAGGCCTTCGGACAAGTGGGTCATTTGGACTACTGGAGTTGCTGCTTTTGAATCTTTTCTAGAAGAGAAAGAAGAAAAGGTTGTAATACAGCTCAGGCAGTGATTATTATATTCCAGAGTATAAAGAACCCAGAACTGATTTGGCGAATTTTCCCCTTGATCACCACCTGTGAGTAAGACATATAACACTCTTTAAAAGAAAAAAAATTCCGTTATGTCTTGTGCTGACCTTATATGACTTTATTGAGGAAAATCACGAGTTCATGTGCATTAAAAAGCTTTTGGAACACTATACAGAATCACACAAGTGTAAGCCTTCCTCAACCTGATTATTACAATTAGGTAGTTCTTCACAACTACCTAATTGTGGAGTATCCTGGAAATGTCCTCATTTCTCCTGCAATCCTGGACTCTCTTTCTGTTTCATACTAAAAATGAAGGAAAAGAAGAAAGAGAGACATAGTATTCTTAATGGTTATTTTAATTTATTGAATATTTATTGAAGCTTTATGAGAAACATAACTATCTTCTACCTGGTGGATCTACACCTCAACATGAATTTACAAAAACAATCATATACCAAGTGGTGTCTATCTACTGCTTCAAACATACATGAAAATTTGGACTTAAAAATTTTCTACATACCACCCAGTGTAAATTTTTAGTTTAGAAATTATTGGGGAAGTGATTCACTCCCACAAAGTACCCAGTTTTCTTATTTGTGTTCTTAATTTTTCATGAAATATACTAATTCATAAAATTCTGACAATCAATGTTATAAAGACGAAGTAAAGAAAAATTTAATAAAATCTGATTTAGTTAAATTCCACAGTGTGTGAGACATTCTTGAAATCTGGACACATTGAATATGCTACAATATGTGGTTGGAAATCTTCAGGTTGGTAAAAATCACAAGGTCTAGGGAAAAGCTGGACTCAGTGGGGTTGAGCTTCTTTCCAAAGACTTTGTGCCCACTTAGATCTCTTCATAGTTTATGTGGTTTCTCCTTCTCTGATCGCCATTAATATTCCAAAATTTCTTATCACTTCAGGCCCTCTTAATATTATTTTGTTTTCTTTTTATTTCTATTTTAGCTCTAATTTTAGCACTTATTTTCCTCATATGCCTTCACCTCTCTTCCAGACACTTAATTCTTCCTCTCACTTAGTCAAGTGCCTTCTATCATTTTCCTCATTCTTCTCCATTTTTCATTAATAATTGGCATAAAATCATATGGAAGAATCAAAATAGTTCTAGCAATGTGAGGATTTTACAATTTCATGTGACATTGTAACGCAATTCTATTCTTAAAATGGAAGAGCAAAGAAAGGTACTGCTCCTTCTTTATGTTGATACCTTCAAAATGAGGCTAGATTTTGTATTCATTTAGAGAGGCATCAATATTTTTATATATTCTTGTAGGAAATTTGGATTCCCTCTACATCTCTGCAGGATTAAAATAAAAGAAGTACCTAGAACATAGTAATCATACAAATGAATGAATGTGTCACCAGCTGAGGAGTTATTCTCTAGTTCAACATTTGCTATATCTTGTTATTTATCACATTCTTCTATTTCTAAACGTTAAAATGGATAATGTAAATTTTATTTTGGAATATTGACATAACAGTTTAATTTAGTTAAGATAAAATAAAGCCATGTTACTTTTTGTGTGTCATGAACATAAGTAAAGGGGTCTCTGTTATTTAGTTTTCCTGCTTTAAAAGGGATTTTACCATTAATTATAATCAGCAGAAGTTCATTTAGAGTACCAAGATATAAACAGAACATTTCCTGGGGAAGGTGTTAGCAGCAAAAGGATTTCAAACTAGTTTTCACTTTATAAATAAAGTGTTGTGATAGGCATATGCCACATACCATTAAGATGTAACAGAATCTGCTCTGGCCTTAAGGGTGTATAATACTTGGTTTGATGTACAAATTTGAATATATAGCTTGCTGATATGAAGTAGGAAAGCTTGCTATATGTCTACTTATGGGATGAGTCATGGATACATCCAAGAAAAAAGAGGAGATAATTGGATTTCTTTATAATTTCATTGAATTCCACAGAATAAATTTGAAAACTACTACCTGCTTAGTATTTCTTAGTGGAATAAAAAATAAACACCAAGGATAAACACTCACAATGGTAAATAATCTTCAGAAAATAGTCAGTATCAAAAAAAATTATATGAGTATGCAAAAATATTGATGTTTCTATACAGCTAAATACATTTTGAAAAATAGTAGTAGGAAATAACAACAAAGACATTTCATCATTTCAAGCTTTGAAATCTGGAAATTCAAAAAAAATTTGGTGGCAGTTATGTATATCAGGCAGAAATAACAGCAGGACTAGCTTTGGATTGAGTTTTATTTGGGATATAATTAATTTGGGACTCCAGGGTACTGTTTTACAATATGATGTTTTAGAGCCATGTTTGAAAAAAAGGCGGGGGAGGGGCTAGAGATAATAATTGAGAGCTTTTTACAAAGACCTGATGGTTGATTTTATTTCCACCATCTTCTTCTTCCACTGTTATTGCCTGGGGTTTTACCCTGGCTCCCTTGGATAAAGAAGGTGTTTGCTCCATGATCTTCGGGCTCGCAGATCTAACCTGTTCAAAGCATCAAATGTGCAATGTCCAAGATATTTTCTCAATGCAAAATCATTTTACTTCACTTCACATCTTTAGTCCACAACATAAATTTCCTCTTTGATATTTGCTTAATTAGAAACAAAATTGAAATGTATTTAAATACTCTGATTCTTTATATTTCTCCAGATGCATTTCTTGTAGTGCTCCCTGCTCCACACAACTACATCCTGAGTTCTGCCCATCTTGAACTGGGCTGAGTCAAATATTTTTTTTTTTTAATTTGTATTTTATTATAGGTTCCAGGATACATGTGCAGAACATGCGGGTTTGTTACATAGGTAAATGTGTGCCATGGTGGTTTGCTGCACCTATCAACCCGTCACCTAGGTATTAAGCCTCACATGCATTAAGTATTAGTCCTGATGCTTTCTGTCCCCTCAACCCCCTTAACAGGCCCCAGGGTGTGTTGTTCCCCCACCGCTGTGTCCATGTGTTTCAACTGTTCAGTTCCCACCTATGAGTGAGAACATGCGGTGTTTTGTTTTCAGTTCCCATTCTATAGGTTGCCTGTTTGCCCTGATGAATTATTCTTAGAAAACTGAAACACCTTCATTCATGTCCCTGCAAAGGACATGATGTCCTTCCTTTTTATGGCTGCATAGTTTTCCATGTTGTATATGTGCCACATTTTCTTTATGAGATGGTATCTCATTGTGGTTTTGATGTGCATTTCTCTAATGATCAGTGATGTTGAGCCTTTTTTTTTTTAATAGGTATGTTGGGCACATATATGTCTTCTTTGAGAAGTGTCTGTTCATGTCCTTTGCCTACTTTTCGATGGGGTTGTTTTTTCTTATAAATGTAAGTTCCTTGTAAATCCTGGATATTAGACCTTTATCATATGGGTAGATTCCAAAATTTTTCTCCCATTCTATAGGTTGCCTGTTTGCTCTGATGATAGTTTATTTTGCTGTGCAGAAGCCCTTTAGTTTAATTAGACTCTATTTTTCAATTTTAGCTCTTATTGCAATTGCTTTAGGTGATTTTATGATAAAACCTTTGCCCATGCCTATTTCCTGAATCGTATTGCCTAGATTTTCTTCTAGGGTTTTTATGGTTTGGAATTTTACATTTAAGTCTTTAATCCATCTTGAGCTTATTTTTGTATAAGGTGTAAGATAAAGGTCCAGTTTCAGTTTTCTGCATATGGCTAGCCAGTTTTCCCAGCACCATTTACTAAATAGGGACTCCTTTCCCCATTGCTTGTTTTTGTCAGGTTTGTCAAAGATCAGATGGTTGTAGATGTCAGGTCTTATTTCTGAGATCTCTATTCTGTTCTGTTGGTCTATGTGTCTGTTTTGGTACGAGTACCATGCTGTTTTGATTGCTGTAGCCTTGTAGTAAAGTTTGACGTCGAGTAGTGTGATGCCTCCAGCTTTGTTCTTTTTGCTTAGGATTGACTTGGCTACATGGGCTTCTTTTTGGTTCCATAGGACTTTTAAAGTAGTTTATCTAATTCTGTGAAAAACGTCCATGGTAGTTTGATGGGAATAGCATTAAAGGGCATACATTGAGCAGTATAGCCATTTTCATGATATTGATTCTTCCCATCCATTAGCATGGAATATTTTTCCATTTGTTAGTGTCTTCTCTTATTTCCTTGAGCAGTGGTTTGCAGTTCTCTTTGAAGGGGCCCTTCACATCCCTTGTTAGCTGTATTCCTAGGTGTTTTATTCTCTTTGTAGCAATTGTAAATGGAAGTTCATTCATGAGTTGGCTCTCTGCTTGTCTATTGTTGGTGCATAGGAATGCTTGTAATTTTTGGACGTTGATTTTGTATCCTGAGACGTTGTTGAAGTTGCTTGTCAGCTTAAAGAACTTTTGGGCTGAGACAATGGGGTTTTCTAGGCATAGGATTGTCATCTGCAAACAGAGACAATTTGACTTCCTCTCTTCCTATTTGAATACCCTTTGTTTCTCTCTTGCCTTAATGCCCCGACCATAACTTCCAATACTATGTTGAATAGGAGTGGTGAGAGAGGGTATCTACAGAACTCTCTAGTACAAAGTAACATAATATACATTTTTATCAGTGCCACATAGCACCCACATAGAACTTACTCTAAAATAGATTACATAATTGGTAATAAAGCACTCCTCAACAAATGCAAAAGAGCTGAAATCATACCAAACAGTCTCTCAGACCAAAGCATAATCAAATTAGAACTCAAGACCAAGAAACTCACTCAAAACCACACAACTACGTAGAAATTGAACAACCTGCTCCCAAATGACTCCTGGATAAATAATTAAATTGAGACAGAAATCAAGGAGTTCTTTGAAACCAATGAGAACAAAGAGACAATGTATCAAAATCTCTGGGATGCAGCTAAAGCAGTGTTAAGAGGGAAACTTAGAGCACTAAATGCCCACATCAGAAAGTAAGAAAGATCTCAAATTGACACCCTAACATCACAACTAAAAGAACTAGGGAAGCATGAGCAAACAAATCCAAAGGCTAGCAGAAGACAAGAAATAACTAAGATCAGAGTGACACTGAAGGAGATAGAGACACAAAAAAAAGCCTTGAAAAAAATTAATGAATCCAAGAGTTGATTTTTTGAAAAATAAAATAAAATAAAATAGACTGCTGGCTAGGCTAATAAAGAAGAAAGAGAGAATAATCAGATAGACCCAATAAAAAATGATAAAGGGGATATCACCACTGACCCCACAGAAATACAAACTACCATCTGAGAATACTATTAACACCTCTACACAAAAAACTAGAAAATCTAGAAGAAATGGATAAATTCATGGACACATACTCCCTCCTAAGACTAAATCAGGAAGAAATCGAATCCTTGAATAGATCAGTAACAAGTTCTGAAATTGAGGCAGTACTAAATGGCCTACCAACCAAAAAATGCCCAGGACCAGATGGATTCACAACCTGATTCTATCAGAGGTACAAAGAGGAGCTGGTACCATTCTTCTGAAACTATTCCAAACAATTGAAAAAAGGGGACTTCTTCCTAACTCATTTATGAGGCCAGCATCATCCTGATACCAAAACCTGGCAGAGACACAACAAAAAGGGAACACTTCAGGCCAATATCCCTGGTAAATATCGAGGCAAAAATTCTCAGTAAAATACTAGCAAACCAAATCTAGCAGCACATCAAAAATATTATCTACCACGATCAAGTCAGCTTCATCCCTGGTTCAACATACAATAAACAATAAACATAATTCATCACATAAACAACCAATGACAACAACCACATGATTATCTCAATAGACACAGAAAAGGCCTTAGATAAAATCCAACATCGCTTCGTGTTAAAAACTCTCAATAGCCAGGCACGGTGGCTCATGCGTGTAATCCCAGCACTTTGGGAGGCTGAGGTGGGTGGATCACCTGAGGTCAGGAGTTTGAGATGAGCCTGACCAACATGGTGTAACCCTATCTCTACTAAAATACAAAAATTAGCCAGGTGTAGTGGCGGGCGCCTGTAATCTCAGCTACTTGGGAGGCTGAGGTGGGAAAATTGCTTGAAACCAGGAGGCAGAGTTTGCATTGAGCCAAGATTGCACCATTGCACTCCAGCCTGACAACAGAGCAAGACTCTGTCCCCCCCAAAAACAAAACAAAACAAAACAAAAAAACTCTCAATAAACTAGGTATTGATGGAACATACATCAAATTAATAAGAGCTATTTATGACAAACTCATAGCCAATATCACGCTGAATGAGCAAAACCTGGAAGCATTCCCTCTGAAAACCAGCACGAGATGAGCCACGTTTCATACAGTTGAGCCTTTGCTCACTGTGGTAGAACACGCCCCGTAAGTCTCCAAAGTAGCACATTGCAGAGAAGCTGTTAAAGACCACAGAAGGGTTTTCTTTTGTCCCTAGATGTTTATCCGATTTGATTTATAACACTTTATTGTAAAAAGAAGAAATCAATTTTTTCAAAAATACAAAGGTTTTTGAATGTCCTCACTACAAAAAAATGATAAATGCATGAGGTGATGGTCACACTAAATACCCTGATTTGATCATTATGCAAAATATATGTTTTGAAATGTCAAAATGTGCCCCCATAGATATTTACAACTTTAATGTATCAACTTAATAAAATTAAAAATAGAAACAAAACAAGCAAATAAACAAACAAAAAATGCAGCTTCTTTTCCACACAGAATTGGAAGGAAAAAAATTATCCTCAGAAGATAAGTGAACGATTTAGTCTTCCTTAGAAAAATATTTTAATGGGGGTTTTGATTAAATAAGACAAGACTTCACGACTTGGTCTGAGATAGAAAAGTTAAAACATAGAGTACTATACCCTTCTCTGAACTGAAGTGTACAGGTGTCCCCAAGGAGTAATGTCATTGATCTCATATAATCCTTCACTGGGCTGCAGGTAGGATGGTAGGGAAAAAAAAACATGCGAACAGGAATTCTGTTGTCAACGAGACTACTAACCTGGAGAAATATTAGGACAGAAGGAGAAAAAATTCTGTAAGGAATTTTCTTTTATGAGGTATGATCCTAAAATTTAGCAATAAAGGCATACAGTGATTTTTCTCCTAGGTTTTCTATTGACTGTACATGTGGGTAAGTAGGGAAGCTCTTATACACTTCAGCATTCTTGTCTGTAAAGTAAATGTCCAAATGTACTCCATGTATACTCTGTGAAAGTTGGATGAGGAAATAATTGTAAAAGCAATGGACTAATCCACACAATTTACCATGACTAAAGGAAGGTAACTGAAGGTTGGTGAGAAGGCCTTATGCATGCATATAAACTGCCCAGTAGAGTATGTCACAGTATGTGTTTGAAAACTGAATTGATAAATAAGCTTGTACCTTCTTTGGAATTCTCAGATAAGGCAAATTATCCAGGATGGTGTGGGAAAACCAGACCTTCAACTCCATCTTCATCCTGCTGGGAATCTTCAATCACAGTCCCACCCACACCTTCCTTTTTTCTCTGGTCCTGGGCATCTTCTCACTGGCATTGATGGAAAATATTTCCATGGTTCTCCTCATCTACATAGAGAAACAGCTCCACACCCCCATGTACTTCCTCCTCAGTCAACTGTCCCTTATGGACCTCATGCTCATCTGCACCACTCTACCCAAGATGATCTTCAGCTACTTGTCTGGGAAGAAATCTATCTCTCTGGCAGGTTGTGGAACTCAGATATTCTTCTATGTGTCCCTGCTTGGAGCTGAATGTTTCTTGTTGGCTGTCATGGCTTATGACCGCTATGTGGCTATATGTCACCCTCTTCAGTACACCATCCTCATGAATCCGAAACTCTGTGTCTTCATGACTGTTGCTTCCTGGACCTTGGGGTCTCTTGATGGGATCATAGTGCTTGCAGCTGTCCTGTCATTTTCTTACTGCAGCTCTCTGGAAATTCATCACTTTTTCTGTGATGTTGCTGCCCTTTTACCTCTATCCTGCACAGAAACATCTGCATTTGAAAGACTACTTGTCATTTGTTGTGTGGTAATGCTAATCTTTCCAGTTTCAGTTATCATACTTTCCTATTCCCATGTCCTTCGAGCCGTCATCCACATGGGCTCTGGGGAAAGTCGTCGCAAGGCCTTCACTACCTGCTCCTCCCACCTGTCTGTGGTCGGACTCTACTACGGTGCTGCTATGTTCATGTACATGAGACCAGCTTCTAAACATACGCCAGACCAGGACAAGATGGTGTCGGCCTTCTACACTATTCTCACCCCTATGCTGAACCCTCTCATTTATAGCCTCCGCAACAAAGAAGTGTTCAGGGCACTACAGAAGGTACTGAAGAAAAGAAAGTTAATATGACCTTATCAAAATCTTTTTGAGTGCCTACTGTGGTCAACACTCATTCAAAAAAACTGGAATCTCTTAAATTATTCTATTTCTATTTCTGGTAATTTGTATTAATATTTTCCACTTCTTTTCAAAATTATCTATTCAGTATATTATTACATATACATCGTTTGTATACTAAGCTAGATTTGGATGTTAGTATAAGTGGTTTAATCCCTGTGAATGACAATTATATTATTAGGTGTCACACATGGGTGGTACTTGATTTTAGGATGCTTACTTTTGAAGCCAGGTATAAGTCCGAAGGGTCTTAGCTGTATCAAAAAGCAAAGGTTGGAGTTGATCCTCTGTTTTTGGAGAGATGCTTCTTTGTTCACAAATTACTTACCTATTAGTACTTGTTTTTAATTTGCCCATCCTCAAACCCAAGAATGACTATTTTAATACTGATTCTTCTTTACTTGACTCCCAAGTATTTAAAAGTGCGGAGTTAGTATCAACACTTTCTTCAATCAAGTTTTATGTCTGCATAAAATATTTCCTAGAAACTCGTATAAACATACACACACTTAAGTATATATGTGTGTGATCTTTATGCTAATAAAATTAAATATTTTAAGGAGTCCACATAAAATATCTATTTGGGCTGCACAGTCAACATCTGTATCATGTCTGCTTTTATTCCTTATAATCCTTATATTAACCATCAGAATCTGAAGGCAGAGCAAGATGATGGAATAGAAGGCTCCACTGATCGTTCACATGCAAGGACAGCAATTTAACAATAATCCATACACGAACAACACATTCATGAGAGCCAAAAATCAGGTGAGCCTTCGTAGTACCTGGTTTTAACTTTATATCACTGAAGAGGCAGTGAAGAGGTAGAAAAAACAACTTGAACAGACAATGCCACCCCTCTCTCACCACTGACAGAAGGAACAGTGTGCTAAGAGTGTCTCTGGGCTCTGGTGAGAAAGAACACAGCAATTGTGAGGCTTTGAGCTCAGTGCTGTCCTGTAAGAGCAGAAAGGAAAACCAGATAAAATTCAGCTGATGCCTGGCCACAGACAGAGCATTTAAACCAGCCCTTGTCAGAGGGGAATTACTGATCCCAGTGGTCAAAACTTGTGTTCCCACAAACCTTGACACTGAGGGCTAAAATGCGCTGAGGCTCTAAGTAAACTTAAAAGGCGGTCTATGCCATAAGTACTGCAACTCTTAGGTGAGTCCTAGTGCTGAATTGGGCCCCGAGATAGTGGACTGTGCGGCGGGCACGTGAACTACAGAGACAGCAGCTGGGGCAACTGAGGTTGTGCTGGCATCACCCTTGCCTAACCTCAGGCTGCACAGCTCATGGCTCCAAAAGAGTTCTTCCACTTGAGGAGAAGAAAGAGTGGAGAGGACTTTGTCTCACATCTTGGATACCAGTTTAGCCACAGCAAGAAAATGCACTCGTCAAAGCTGTGAGGCCCTTATTCCAGGACCTCCATCCCAGATGACATTTCTATATACACCCTGGGCAAGAAGGGACTAACACTGTTGCTTAATATTTTGCTTCGTAAGCACCAATGGATTGATTCAACTGAAATTTTTGTACTCACCACAGTAATATTCATAATTATTATTTAGATTGACATGCTTATTTTTAAGTATAGTATAATCAAATGTTTTCTAATTTAAAAATGTGCTAGCAAATTTTAAAAATTAAAACAAAGGCTAATTTTATCCTTAAAAAAAATAATTTCTGGGCCGGATGCAGTGGCTCGCTCATGCCTGTAATCCCAGCACTTTGGGAGGCCGAGGCGGGCAGATTATCTGAGGTTGGGAGTTCAAGGCCAGCCTGACCAACATGGAGAAATTTCATCTCGACTAAAAAAATACAAAATCAGCCGGGCGTGGTGGCCCATGCCTGTAATCCCAGCTACTCGTGGGGCTGAGGCAGGAGAATCGCTTGAACTTGGGAAGTGGAGGTTGCTGTGAGCCGAGATCATGCCATTGCACTCCAGCCTGGGCAACAAAAGCAAAACTCCATCTCAGTAAATAAATAAATAAATAATTTCTGTTAAATATAAAAAGTAGTTTTTATCATAGCAAATGTCGCCCTAGCTATGTCAAGTCAAAAATTTAGATTTATTGGGATTTTAAAAGAAGATAATACTATGTCCCTATGTGTTTCATTCCACTTTATGATACACACTGGAAATGTTTATGCTCAGTTTTTGGAAGCAGAATATATGTGTCGTGGGTACAGTTGCTCAATTTATTCAATTTATACTTGTATATGCTGATTCTTCACCAATGAATTCAATTTTATTAATTCAATTAATTAAATTTTATAATACAAAACAGTGAATTTAATGACATATCTTTGCCAGTCAGTGTTCACTGGTTGAGCCAGAAAGAGTTTTACAAAGTTTTTTTTTGAGACGGAGTCTTGCTCTGTCACCAGGCTGGAGTGCAATGGTGGGATCTTGGCTCACTGCAGCCTCCACCTCCTGGGTCCAAGTGATTCTCCTGCCTCAGCCTCCCGAGTAGCCAGGACTACAGGCGCATGCTACCACAACTGGCTAATTTTTGTATTTTTAGTAGAGACGGGATTTCACCATGTTGGCCAGGATGGTCTCAATCTCTTGACCTCGTGATCCGCCCGCCTTGGCCTCCCAAAGTGCCTGGATTACATGCGTCAGCCACAGCACCCAGCCCCGAGTTTTACAAAGATTTACTGTACTTTCACTCCCACTCCGGATCTTCTTTAATCAAAATATATAGCAAGCATTTCAATAGTCATGATAACAAATAGAAGTGTGATTTACATTTTGTCAGCAACATCACACCTTATGTGAAACAGGTAAATTTAGAACAACCAGAAAAGAAAGACTTATCTGTGATCTACTAAGAGAAGTATGAAAATTGAGCTTGAAATGGAAACATTTTATGATATGAATCGATAATGATTTTGTACATTTGATTTTACACATAATATGCAGAAAAAAGTAATTTTAATATGCAATTATGTAAACTGCAAAATCTACAAGAAACATTTGAAAACAATTTTGATATTGATGAATTTAAAGTTACTTTTTAATTTATATGTTAAATTTTTGAATTTGATGTTAATAATACCGACTTGAAAGAAGTTATATTGCTTACTCAATTTAGTGATGAAAAATGTTTTGAGTATGTTTGGGACATTGCGTATATGTGAATCTAATTTTTCAACTGTAAATTTTATTAAATTTAAATGCAGACCAAGTATTTTTGAAAAAAAATTAGTGTCTGAATTATGAGCTGAAAATGTAAAATAAACGCTTGATTTTAAAAAGTTTATACATAAAATGTAAAATATATCGTTATTAATTTTTAAGGTTGCTTGCCTGTTGAAACAATATTTTGGACGTATTAGTTTTAACTTAATTTTTGGTGTTGAAGTTTGGGCTGTAATCCAGTAGATGGCGCCTAAGAGTAATGCCCGTAGAGAGGCTCTTGATCGGCCACTTGGCTCTTTCGTGTTTCCTGGCATTCGCAGGCACGCTGTCCGGTGGGGGTTGAGAGAGATGCCTCCTTACCAGGACGACTCCTGAGCCTTGGAGGAGGCCCCTCCAATTACTAGCACTTCGCCTGCATTTCTTTTATTAGATGTTTCGGGCTACAGCCCTCCCTCAGGCAGAGGCCACAGCAGAGAGAGCTACCTTTCAGCATGTACAGAAATTAACTCGAGATGGATTAAAGACTTAAACGTAAGAAAATCCTAGAAGAAAACTTAGGAAATGCCGTTCTTGATACCAGGCTTGGCAAATAATTTTTGGCTAATTTCCCAAAAACATTTGCAACAAAAATTGACAAGCTAGACCTAATTAAAGAGCTTCTTCACAGCAACAGAAATTATCAGCAGAGTAAACAGACAATCTACAGAATGGGAGAAGATATTAGCAAAATGTGCATCCAACAAAGGTCTAACATCCAGATTCTATACGGAACTTAAGTCAACAAGCAAAACCCCATTAAATAATCCCATTAAAAAGTGGGCAAAGCACATGACCATGCATTTCTCAAAAGAAGGCATATGAGCAGCCAACAAACATGAAAAAATGGTCATCATAGTTAGTTATGAGAGAAATGCAAATCAAAACCTAAATGAGAGACCATCTCACACCAGTCCCGTCAAAATGACCATTAATAAAGTCAAATAATAACAAATACTAGTGAAGCTGTGGAGAAAAGGAACACATATACACTGTTGGTGGGAATGTAAATTATAGTTGAGCCACTGTGGAAAGCAGTTTGGAGATTTCTCGAAGAACTTAAAACAGGGCTGCTACTTGACCCAGGAATGCTATTACTGGGGATACATCCAAAAGAAAATAAATTGTTCTACCCCAAAGACAAATTATTCATTCATTGCAGTGTTATTCCCAATAGCAAGGAATCAACCTACATGCCCATCAATGGTGGATTGGATAAAGAAAATGTAGCACATAAACACCACAGAGTGCTACATAGCCATAAAAAAGAACAAAATCATGTCCTTTGTAGCAACATGGATGCAACTGGAGGCCATTATCCTAAGTGAATTAATGCAGTAACAAAAAACCAAATACTGCATGTTCTCACTTATACATAGGAGCTAAACTTTGGGTACTCAAGGATGTAAAGATGGAAACAATAGACACTGTGGACTACCAAATGGGGAAGGAAGGGAGGGGAGTGTGGGTTGCAAAACTACCTATGGGATACTATGCTCACAACCTGGGTGATGGGATCTATACCCTAAACCTCAGCGTGATGAAATATACACATGTAACAAACACGCACATGTACCCACTGTGTCTAAAATAAAAGATGAAATCATTTAAAAAATAATTTAACATTTCATCTTAACTTTTAAAACTGTGGTCACTAGTATATTTTTAAATTACCTAGGTGGCATATTATATTTCTTTTGAAGTATGTTTATCTAGATGACTAAGATATGGTGATTTCCATTGTATTTCTGTTAATTTACTACTTTAACCTCTTCAAAACCCACACAATTCCTGAAACTCCAGTAAGTAGAAGTTCCTATGTTAGACTCAGTATCTTTTCTAGAGCAAATTAAGATGGTCTTATGCACCTACTATTGATTTGGTAAATGAGCTCTTTTCTATCACTCTGAGGAAAGAATATCAAGAACAACTCACATTCATAAGGATCAGACATCTTCTATTTATAATACCTCGGTCTATGCCTATCCTCCTGTCCTCTGTCATGATGTAAGTGAAAGAAATACAAGCTACCTGGACATGCTGCATAAAAAAAAATGTACTACATTTAGAGGACAATATGCTAATTGGACTGAGCTGTAAGAAATAGCTAGCACACTGGAGACATTGTAATACATTTGTTATCCAAAGGTGCAAGATATACCTTACCAATATCAGCGGTCTTCCACAAAAATAAAGGTTGTAGGAAGTTACATGCCACTTAAAGTCTCATGGGATATCCAAAGCAAAGGAAAGATTACTGCATCTTGCCCTCTCACCAAAAGATAGATACATGATAGATAGATAGATAGATAAATAGATAGATAGATGGATAGATAGATAGATAACAGATAGACAATACTTGGTATACCTTTTTGGGTTTTGACGGCAGCATATACCACACCTGGATTATTATTTAGATCTATATAGTGGGTTACGCAAAAAGATACTGACTTTGAGTAACTCCAATAACAGAAAGAGGATTCACTGCAATCCAGGATGCAGTGCAAGCAACTCTGAAACTTGGACCATGCAAGTGTTAGAATCTATAGTATTAGAGCTATTATTATTGGGAAATTACATTGTGTGGCATTTATTGTATGTTTCCATGGGATAATTCAAATGAAATCAGTAAAATTCTGGAGTAAAGTCATGCTATCCACATTAAATATTTTAGACCTTTTTATTTTTAATTTTTACTTTCTGTGAGTACATAGTAGGTGTATATATTTATGGGGTACATGAGATATTTTGATACATGCATGCAATGCATAATAATCATATCAGATAATTGAGGTATCCATCATCCCAGGCATTTGTCCTTTATGTTACAAAATATCCAGTTATACTTTTAGTTATTTTTAAATGCACAATTATCATTGGCTATAGTCACTCCGTTGTGCTATCAAACACTAAGGCATTCATGCTTTCTAATTATATTTTGTACCCATTAAACATCCCCACTTATTCTTCCTAATCCCCACCCCCACTACCCTTCTCAGCCTGTGATAACCATCCTTCTACTCTCTATCTCCATGAGCCCAGTTGTTTTAATTTTTAACTCCCACCAATAAGGGAGAACATTTGAAGTCTATCTCTCTGTGTCTGGCTTATTTCATTTAATATAATAACCTCCAGTTCCATCCATGTTGTTGCAAATGACAGGATCTCATTATTTTTTACGGCTGAATAGTACTTCATTGTGTATATGTACCACATTTTCTTTATCCATTCATCTGTTGATAGACACAGTTTGCTTGCAAATCTTAGTTATTGCGAATACTGCTCCAATAAACATGGAGTGCAGATATCTCTTCAATATACTGATTACCTTTCTTTTGGATGTATGCCTAGCAGTAGAATTGCTGAATCATGTGGTAACTCTGTTTTTAGTTTTTTGAGGAACCTCCAAACTGTCCTTTATGGTGGTTGTACTAATTCACATTCCCACTAGCAGTGTAGGAGGGCTCCCTTTTCTCCACATTCTGGCATAATTTGGTATTGCCTTTCTTTTATATGAAAGTCATTTTGCCTGGGGTGAGATGATATCTCACTGTAGTTTTAATTTACACATTTCTTATGATCAACATGTTGAGCACCTTTTCATATACCTGTTTGCCATTTGTATGTCTTCTTTTGAGAAATGTCTATTCAACTCTCACCCATTTTTAAATTGGATTAATACATTTTTTCCTATAGAGTTGTTTGAGCTCCTTATATATTCTGGTTATTAATCCCTTGTCAGATGAGTAGTTTGAAAATTTTTTCTTTCATTCTGTGGGTTTTCTCTTCACTTTATTGTTTCCTATGCTATGCAGAAGCTTTTTAAATTGATGTGATCTTATTTGTCCATTTTTGCTTCAGTTGCCTGTGCTTGTTGTGTATTTTTACATTTCAAATTATTGTGAGCCTTGGGAGTAATATCTTATCTCCCATTATTTAAAATTCATGACCAACGTAACCCTGATTTCACAATCAAACAAGAAGCAAGCAAAAAGGAACTTAAAAAAAAACCCTCTACACTTTAACTTCATACCTTCACTTTGTAACTTTTTGTTGTTTCAGTTTATATCTTATTGTACTGTCTATGTCTTACAAAGTTGTTGTAGATATCATTTTTGATTGGTTCATCTTTTCATCTTTCTACTTAAGATATGAGTAGTTTACACACCACAATTACAGTATTGTAATAGTCTGTCTTTTCCTGTGTACTTACCATTACCAGAGAGATTTGTACCTTCAGATGCTCATTAATACTTTTTTTCTCTCATGTTGAAGAACTCTCTCTAGCATTTCTTGTAAGACAGGTCTGGTGTTGATGAAATCCCTCAGCTTTTCTTTATCTGGAAAAGTCTATATTTATAAAGAATTAATACAGAGAAGGAAAGGAAGTTAATAAAGCGTGTTTTATTGAGTAAGCTACTACAGAGGGCAAATCCAACCTAATCCTGTGGCTCACTTCTGAGAAAGTATATAAAATGCACACCCTTGAGAATCATTCTTGCCTGTGAGAGAGGAGACAGAACTTGATTTTCACCAGGGTTGTTCGGGGGCTTCTCTGCTGGCGATTTTTATTCTCTGGCACTTCTAGTCTGTGTACACATAGACAGAGTGACCTTCTATGGAGATTGAAGGAATGTGGTTGCTGCTCAGAGTGCCGGCTGGAAATTCATGTGTAATTAGAAACCTCAACTGGCAACATGCGGCGTTTTTTTTGTGTGTGGGTGTCTTCATCCAAATAAGTCAATTGTAAGACATGAGATTATTGAGATTATTAAGAAATGTGCTTACAGATGTCCTATTAGATGACATTGTGGAAATACTGTTAATTGTATTTGTGTGATAAGGTATTGTGGTTAAGTACAAAGGAAGAAACTATGAATTCAAGATTAGGTATAATGAAGAAGTGATAAGATGTCTAAACAAATGGCCAGGCACGGTGATTCACGCCTGTAATCCCAACACTTTGGGAGGCCAAGGCAGGCAGATCACAATGTCAGGAGTTCAAGACCAGCCGGACCAACAAGGTGAAACCCATCTCTACTAAAAATACAAAAATTAGCCAGACATGGTGGCACACACCTATAATCAGCTACTCAGGACGCTGAGGCAGGAGAATCGCTTGAACCCGGGAGGCAGAGGTTGCAGTGAGCTGAGATCGTACCACTGCACTGGGAAACAGAGCAGGACTCCATCTCAAAACAAAACAAAACTCCACAAACATTAAATGCATTTAGATTTGTTGGGTGGATAAATATGAAACAAGATTTTTTTGATCCTTGGTAGTTCCTTAATTTTTTTTTCTTTGATGTGGTGCTCTATTTTTCAAAAATTAAAAATTTTTAAAAGAAATATGGGTATTTCAGCAAAAGAAAAAAAGGGAGTGACAGAGGGAGGAAGGGAGGAAGAAACGGAGGAAAAAGAGAAACACTCCCCGAGATGCTTTCTTGCACATTATATTTTTCACTGTGGCTGTTCAATGGAGATGTCCCGAGGAAACCCAGGCAGGGACTCTGTCTTCCTAGGTCCCTGAAGCTGCACCAACAAGCAGTACATGTCCACACTTCCAACACTGCTACAAAAACAAGAAGTAAGCTTCATTTGGATGTAAGACATTATACATTATTGTGACTAATTTTTATTACAATTAATCGGCCTCAAATAATACCACTTTTTGAACAAATGTAAATCTACTTAATTTTAATAAAATTATTGAGAAAATATTACTTATAGGGAGATATATTAAATTTAGTTCCTACTGAACAATGTACAAAAATCAACCTCAACTGTATTAAAAACACATATTGAAAACACAACAAATATTTGTTTTAAATTATAGGCAAATGTTCCCGAGCAGACATCAATTTCTTAAGCAAGTCATATAAAGTAATAACTATAAATACAATCATTGACAAATTTGACCAAGTTAAAAATTTTAAACTTTGTCCATTGATAGATACCTCAAATAGGTGGAAATTCTAGTTATGCACTAAGATGAAACAGTATACTAAATAAATATACACCTATATTTAATAATATTATTTGATTCAACTTCATATATATATATATATATATATATATACTGAAAAATAAGAAAAATATATGAGCAGTTATTTCACAGAAAAACAGACACACGTGGCCAGTAAACTTCTGACATAATTGTCAAGAGTGGTATTTTATCCCCATTCCAGCAGAAAAAATAGAAAACTCAAACAATACTGAATGTTGTTGAGTATGTTTATTAGCAAAACAATTTAGCATTGCCGACTAGAATGAAAACCGATATTGGCACTTTGGAAAAGAAATCAACACCATGTTTTATATTGGACTTTTACATTCCAAACAGTCCAACCATTCTATTTCTCTCCATAGAACCCAAGAAACTTCTTCCAGTATACTAGGAGTCACACAAAGGCATGTTCAAAAGGTTTGTTTCTATGGTAGATATATAAAATTTCTGTGTCTAAATAATATGATAAATAATTTTTCTTGTATTCACAAATTGGAATATTTTACAATAGCTGAAAGCAATATATTTGAGCAATAAAAAAATAGAATGAATCTTAATAATACCATAAAGCAAGCTCAGGAAGATTACTTGCTGCACAATAGCTTTTCTAAAATTTTATGAATCATTAAAGAATCAAAACAAAAGATGTTTAACATCTACATAAAGCTAAATGAACATGAGAATGAGAGGATGTGGAACATTGGGTTTAGGATGCTCAAAATTTTGGCAGTAGAAGTAGTGAAATGGAGTAAGGTGAGGCCACATGTTATATGTAAATTGCTATTGAGTTCTTAGATTTTATGTTGGGTGAAAGGTTCAAATGTACTTTTTAGATAACCAAAATTTAACTACTACTTAAAGGATATTTAAAGAGTCTTTGCTTCCATAATGACAGGCAATTGTAACACTTAGATGCCTATTTCAGTATGAATACAAATAGAATTGTGACATGGTAAACTGAGTGATCCAACTAGTCTTTGAAACACAAGTTTCAAAACAAACAAAACAATTTTGCTTTGTTTTGTTTTATTTTATTTTTTTTTTATGGAGAGGCCTTCCTTTACCTTCCTCTTAGTGTGTGAGCCTTCCTGTGGCCACATCTATAAAGACATGAGCTTGCCTGTGAATTTAGGCAGAAAGTACATAGAGGGAACACAGGGTATTTCAAAAAGCTCCATAAGCAACTAAATTGAGGAGTGAAGAAAAACGGACAAAAATAATGAGATTTTAAAAGGGTCTTTTGCAAATCTCACATATTCCCACTCATATATGGGAACTAAAAAAGATGATCTCATGGAGTTAGAAGATAAAATGATAGATACCAGAGACTGGGAAGAGTGTGTGTAGAAGGAGATGAAGAGAAGTTGATTAGTGGATACAAGCATACAGTTAAATAGAAGGAATATGTTCTAATGCCCGGTAACAGAGTACAGTGACTATACTTAAAAACAATGCATTATACATTTCAAAATAGCTAGAAGAGAGAACTTGAAATATTCCCAAACCCTAGAAATGATAAATACTCGAGGTGACAGACATCCCAAATCCCCTGACATTATCATTATACATTCTATGCATGTAACAGAATGTCACATGTATCCCATAAGTATACAAATATTTGCATCAATAAAAAATAACACAAAATAAAAATAAAGGGCCTTTTTTCCTGGCATTGATCACCGTATGTATTTCCTTCAGGGAGGCATCTAAGTGAGTGGCTATGAGAATCAATGTGTGAAGATGAGCTTCTGAGTCTTTGCATCAGTATGCTCATGATTTATACTAATCTACAATGCCTTAGCACTCTCATGCCTACCTATCATTGAAAGTAAAATATTATCAGTAATATACTACAGCAGTAATTAGGGATGAAAAGGATCTCAGAAAAAAATGGTTTAATACCTCTCACCCCTTTTTGTACAAATATAGATATAAATAAAATTATTGCCTGAAAGATTATCTAGTGGGTTATTATTTATAATATTCTTAAATGCCTGTACATTAAAATATTAAGAAGCAAAGAGAGACTAGAATTAATATCATCTCAACAACTTTTTAGCTTTCAGAGTTTGCCACACAATCTCTCTCAACCACTATTAGGTTTGTTGGACTTATTATAATATCCTTTATATATATACATATATTTTAATTTATATTTATTCTAAAAATGTTTAAGAAAGATTCTGAGGTCTTCTATTACTCAACAGATCATTAACAAAGTTAGTACACAGAAGTCGAAGGGCACTTCCACTGCCCTGAAAGCATTGATAAACTCTACAAAACTTTAATTATTTTGTTTTCCCTTATAATAATGGAGATGGGGTTGATCATTAACAAAGACAGCAAATCACTAATCACAGGCAACTGTTTCTCTGCTCCAAGCACGGGGAAGAAGGGAGTTAATTGGAAGAATGCTGTTCCGAGGCTTGTTAAATCAGGCTTCTGGGATTGTGATATGAAAACTTTTAATGAGTTTGTCAAAGCTGAACACCCACAGAGTCTTATTAAATAGCCTCTCATTAGCAAGAGTTAAAACTTTATTTTATTCACTCCAAAGTTGTAGCTAATTGGAGCCTTATTCTATTAGATAAATTCGGGGAAATTCTCAGAGACTAATAAGAACCCTTTATTAGAAAACCCAAAGGAGACAAACTTGTGTGGTTGCCATGGTGATGCTTGGCAGAGAAATGAGTCTCATACCAGTCAAGTTATCTTTCTATCTCTATGAATTTGAATATTCTAGTATGTCATATGTTTCCTTTTATGCATAGCTTCACTTCATCTAAGTTTTATCTATGTTGTAGCATGAACCAGAATTTTATTCTTTTTTAAGGTTATATAATGTTCCATTGCATGTATATACATTTTGTTTCTCCCTTCATCCATTAAGGAATATTTAGGTCATTTTTTATCTTTTGACTATTGTGAATAATGATGCTATAAACATAGGTATGCAAATATCTGTTCAAATTCAAGCTTTCAATTCTTTTGTGCATAAGCCAAGAAGTGGAATTGCTGGATAACATGATAATTCTTTCACTTTTTAAAGGATGTATCATTTGGTTTCCACAGTGGCTGCAGGAGCAATGCACAGAAGTTCCAATTTCTGCACATCTTCCCCAACACTTTCTGTTTCTGATTTTCTTTGTTTATTTTAATAATAACCATTTTAATAGGTATAAAGTGGTATCTCACTGAGGTTTTGATTTGCATTTACCTAATGATTAGTGATGCACAACTTTTTTTCACATCCTTATTGGTCACATGCTTATCTTTTTTAAGAAATGCCTATTCAAGCTCTTTGCCTATTTTTCAGTTGGGTTGTCTATTTTGTTGTTATTTCATTGTAAGTTTTAAAAATATATTGTAGATTTAATTTCTTATCAGCTATGTACTTTGCAACTATTTTTCCCATCATGAGAGAGCTGCCTTTTTACTTTTCTGAAAGTGTCCTTTGATGTGCAAAATGTTAATTTTGATGAAATAAATTTTATTTGTTTTCCTCTTTTAATGCCTATACTTCTGGTTTTTACATACAAAAAATTATTGCCAAATACAATGTCATGATTTTTCCCTTTGTTTTCTTCTAAGAGTTTCGTCATTTTGGTTCTTATATTAAAGTTTTTTATCTACTTGAATTAATCTTTACATGGTGTAAGATAAAAGCCTGACTTCACTGTTTTGCATATGGATATACTGTTTCTCATCACCACTAGTTGAATAGATTGCTTGTTTTCAGCATATAAAAACACAACTAGGGAGGAGCCAAGATGGCCAAATAGGAAGAGCTCCGGTCTATGGCTCCAAGTGTGAGCGATGCAGAAGATGGGTGATTTCTGCATTTCCATCTGAGGTACCGGGTTCATCTTACTAGGGAGGGCCAGACAGCGGGCGCAGGTCAGTGGGTGCATGCACCATGCGCGAGCCAAAGCAGGATGAGACATTGCCTCAGTCGGGAAGCGCAAGGGGTCAGGGAGCTCCCTTTCCTAGTCAAAGAAAGTGGTGACAGATGGCACCTGGAAAATCGGGTCACTCCCACTGCGCTTTTCCGAAGGGCTTAAAATACGGCGCACCAGGAGATTATATCCCACACCTGGCTCGGAGGGTCCTACGCCCACGGAATCTCGCTGATTGCTAGCACAGCAGTCTGAAATCAAACTGCAAGGTGGCAGCGAGGCTGGGGGAGGGGCACCCACCATTGCCCAGGCTTGCTTAGGTAAACAAAGCAGCCAGGAAGCTCGAACTGGGTGGAGCCCACCACAGCTCAAGGAGGCCTGCCTGCCTCTGTAGGCTCCACCTCTGCGGGCAGGGCACAGACAAACAAAAAGACAGCAGTAACCTCGGAAGACTTAAATGTCCCTGTCTCACAGCTTTGAAGACAGCAGTGGTTCTCCCAGCACGCAGCTGGAGATCTGAGAATGGGCAGACTGCCTCCTCAAGTGGGTCCCTGACCCCTGACCCCCGAGCAGCCTAACTGGGAGGCACCCCCCAGCAGGGGCAGACTGACACCTCACACAGCCGGGTACTCCAACAGACCTGCAGCTGAGGGTCCTGTCTGTTAGAAGGAAAACTAACCAACAGAAAGGACATCAACACCAAAAACCCATCTGTACATCACCATCATCAAAGAACAAAAGTAGATAAAACCACAAAGATGGGGAAAAAACAGAGCAGAAAAACTGGAAACTCTAAAAAGCAGAGTGCCTCTCCTCCTCCAAAGGAACGCAGTTCCTCACCAGCAATGGAACAAAGCTGGACGGAGAATGACTTTGACGAGCTGAGAGAAGAAGGCTTCAGACGATGAAATTACTCCGAGCTACGGGAGGACATTCAAACCAAAGGCAAAGAAGTTGAAAACTTTGAAAAAAATTTAGAAGAATGTATAACTAGAATAACCAATACAGAGAAGTGCTTAAAGGAGCTGATGGAGCTGAAAGCCAAGGCTCGAGAACTACGTGAAGAATGCAGAAGCCTCAGGAGCCGATGCGATCAACTGGAAGAAAGGGTATCAGCGATGGAAGATGAAATGAATGAAATGAAGCGAGAAGGGAAGTTTAGAGAACAAAGAATAAAAAGAAACGAGCAAAGCCTCCAAGAAATATGGGACTATGTGAAAAGACCAAATCTATGTCTGTTTGGTGTACCTGAAAGTGATGGGAGGAATGGAACCAAGTTAGAAAACACTCTTCAGGATATTATCCAGGAGAACTTTCCCAATCTAGCAAGGCAGGCCAACATTCAGATTCAGGAAATACACAGAACGCCACAAAGATACTCCTCGAGAAGAGCAGCTCCAAGACACATAATTGTCAGATTCACCAAAGTTGAAATGAAGGAAAAAATGTTACGGGCAGCCAGAGAGAAAGGTTGGGTTACCCTCAAAGGGAAGCCCATCAGACTAACAGCAGATCTCTCGGCAGAAACCGTACAAGCCAGAAGAGAGTGGGGGTCAATATTCAACATTCTTAAAGAAAAGAATTTTCAACCCAGAATTTCATATCCAGCCAAACTAAGCTTCATAAGTGAAGGAGAAATAAAATACTTTACAGACAAGCAAATGCTGACAGATTTTGTCACCACCAGGCCTGCCCTAAAAGAGCTCCTGGAGGAAGTGCTAAACATGGAAAGGAACAACCGGTACCAGCCGCTGCAAAATCATGCCAAAATGTAAAGACCATTGAGACTAGGAAGAAACTGCATCAACTAACGAGCAAAATAACCAGCTAACATCATAATGACAGGATCAAATTCACACATAACAATATTAACTTTAAATGTAAATGGACTAAATGCTCCAATTAAAAGACACAGACTGGCACATTGGATAAAGAGTCAAGACCCATCAGTGTGCTGTATTCAGGAAACCCATCTCACGGGCAGGGACACACATGGGCTCAAAATAAAAGGATGGAGGCAAATCTACCAAGCAAAAGGAAAACAAAAAAAGGCAGGAATTGCAATTCTAGTCTCTGATAAAACAGACTTTAAACCAACAAAGATCAAAAGAGACAAAGAAGGCCATTACTTAATGGTAAAGGGATCAATTCAACAAGAAGAGCTAACTATCCTAAATACATGTGCACCCAATACAGGAGCACCCAGATTCATAAAGCAAGTCCTGAGTGACCTACAAAGAGGCTTAGACTCCCACTCATTAATAATGGGAGACTTTAACACCCCACTGTCAACATTAGACAGATCAACGAGACAGAAAGTCAACAAGGATACCCAGGAATTGAACTCAGCTCTGCATCAAGAGGACCTAATAGACATCTACAGAACTCTCCACCCCAAATCAACAGAATATACATTTTTTTCAGCACCACACCACACCTATTCCAAAATTGACCACATACTTGGAAGAAAAGCTCTCCTCAGCAAATGTAAAAGAACAGAAATTATAACAAACTATCTCTCAGACCACAGTGCAATCAAACTAGAACTCAGAATTAAGAATCTCACTCAAAACCATTCAACTACATGGAAACTGAACAACCTGCTCCTGAATGACTACTGGGTACATAACAAAATGAAGGCAGAAATAAAGATGTTCTTGAAACCAATGAGAACAAAGACACAGCATGCCAGAATCTCTGGGACGCATTCAAAGCAGTGTGTAGAGGGAAATTTATAGCACTAAATGCCCACAAGAGAAAGCAGGAAAGATCCAAAATTGACACCCTAACATCACAATTAAAAGAACTAGAAAAGCAAGAGCAAACACATTCAAAAGCTAGCAGAAGGCAAGAAATAACTAAAATCAGAGCAGAACTGAAGGGAATAGAGACACAAAAAACCCTTCAAAAAATTAACGAATCCAGGAGCTGGTTTTTTGAAAGGATCAACAAAATTGATAGACCACTAGCAAGACTAATAAAAAAAAAAGAGAGAATAATCAAATAGATGCAATAAAAATGATAAAGGGGATATCACCACCGATCCCACAGAAATACAAACTACCATCAGAGAATACTACAAACACCTCTACGCAAATAAACTAGAAAATCTAGAAGAAATGGATAAATTCCTCGACACATACACCCTCCCAAGACTAAACCAGGAAGAAGTTGAATCTCTGAATAGACCAATAACAGGAGCTGAAATTGTGGCAATAATCAATAGCTTACCAACCAAAAAGAGTCCAGGACCAGATGGATTCACAGCCGAATTCTACCAGAGGTATGAGGAGGAACTAGTACCATTCCTTCTGAAACTATTCCAATCAATAGAAAAAGAGGGAATCCTCCCTAACTCATTTTATGAGGCCAGCATCATCCTGATACCAAAGCCGGGCAGAGACACAACCAAAAAAGAGAATTTTAGACCAATATCCTTGATGAACATTGATGCAAAAATCCTCAATAAAATACTGGCAAACCGAATCCAGCAGCACATCAAAAAGCTTATCCACCATGATCAAGTGGGCTTCATCCCTGGGATGCAAGGCTGGTTCAATATATGCAAATCAATAAATGTAATCCAGCATATAAACAGAACCAAAGACAAAAACCACATGATTATCTCAATAGATGCAGAAAAGGCCTTTGACAAAAGTCAACAACCCTTCATGCTAAAAACTCTCAATAAATTAGGTATTGATGGGACTTATCTCAAAATCATAAGAGCTATCTATGACAAAGCCACAGCCAATATCATACTGAATGGGCAAAAACTGGAAGCATTCCCTTTGAAAACTGGCACAAGACAGGGATGCCCTCTCTCACCACTCCTATTCAACATAGTGTTGGAAGTTCTGGCCAGGGCAATTAGGCAGGAGAAGGAAATAAAGTGTATTCAATTAGGAAAAGAGGAAGTCAAATTGTCCCTGTTTGCAGACGACATGATTGTATATCTAGAAAACCCCATTGTCTCAGCCCAAAATCTCCTTAAGCTGATAAGCAACTTCAGCAAAGTCTCAGGATACAAAATCAATGTGCAAAAATCACAAGCATTCTTATACACCAATAACAGACAAACAGCCAAATCATGAGTGAACTCCCATTCACAATTGCTTCAAAGAGAATAAAATACCTAGGAATCCAAGTTACAAGGGACGTGAAGGACCTCTTCAAGGAGAACTACAAACCACTGCTCAAGGAAATAAAAGAGGATACAAAGAAATGGAAGAACATTCCATGCTCATGGGTAGGAAGACTCAATATCATGAAAATGGCCATACTGCCCAAGGTAATTTACAGATTCAATGCCATCCCCATCAAGCTACCAATGCCTTTCTTCACAGAATTGGAAAAAACGACTTTAAAGTTCATATGGAACCAAAAAAGAGCCCACATCACCAAGTCAATCCTGAACCAAAAGAACAAAGCTGGAGGCATCACACTACCTGACTTCAAACTATACTATAAGGCTGCAGTAACCAAAACAGCATGGTACTGGTACCTAAACAGAGATATAGATCAATGGAACAGAACAGAGCCCTCAGAAATAACGCCGCATATCTACAACTATCTGATCTTTGACAAACCTGAGAAAAACAAGCAATGGGGAAAGGATTCCCTATTTAATAAATGGTGCTGGGAAAACTGGCTAGCCATATGTAGAAAGCTGAAACTGGATCCCTTCCTTACACCTTATACAAAAATAAATTCAAGATGGATTAAAGACTTAAACGTTAGACCTAAAACCATAAAAACCCTAGAAGAAAACATAGGCATTACCATTCAGGACATAGGCATGGACAAGGACTTCATGTCTAAAACACCAAAAGCAATGGCAACAAAAGACAAAATTGACAAATGGGATCTAATTAAACTAAAGAGCTTCTGCACAGCAAAAGAAACTACCATCAGAGTGAACAGGCAACCTATAAAATGGGAGAAAATTTTCGCAACCTACTCATCTGACAAAGGGCTAATATCCAGAATCTACAATGAACTCCAACAAATTTACAAGAAAAAGACAAACAACCCCATCAAAAAGTGGGCAAAGGACATGAACAGACACTTCTCAAAAGAAGACATTTATGCAGCCAAAAAACACATGAAAAAATGCTCACCATCACTGGCCATCAGAGAAATGCAAATCAAAACCACAATGAGATACCATCTCACACCAGTTAGAATGGCAATCATTAAAAAGTCAGGAAACAACAGGTGCTGGAGAGGATGTGGAGAAATAGGAAGACTTTTACACTGTTGGTGGGACTGTAAACTAGTTCAACCATTGTGGAAGTCAGTGTGGCGATTCCTCAGGGATCTAGAACTAGAAATACTATTTGACCCAGCCATCCCATTACTGGGTATATAACCAAAGGACTATAAATCATGCTGCTATAAAGACACATGCACACGTATTTTTATTGCGGCATTGTTCACAGTAGCAAAGACTTGGAACCAACCCAAATGTCCAACAATCATAGACTGGATTAAGAAAATGTGGCACATATACACCATGGAATACTATGCAGCCATAAAAAATGATGAGTTCATGTCCTTTGTAGGGACATGGATGAAACTGGAAATCATCATTCTCAGTAAACTATCGCAAGAACAAAAAACCAAACACCGCATATTCTCACTCATAGGTGGGAATTGAATAATGAGAACACATGGACACAGGAAGGGGAACATCACACTCTGGGGACTGTTGTGGGGTGGGGGGAGGGGGGAGGGATAGCATTGGGAGATATACCTAATGTTAGATGACGAGTTAGTGGGTGCAGCACACCAGCATGGCACATGTATACATATGTAACTAACCTGCACATTGTGCACATGTACCCTAAAACTTAAAGTATAATAATAAACAAAAAATAAAAAAAAGAAAATTAAAAAAAAAAACAGAACTAATTTTTGCATTTTGATTTTTTCTTTTTACTGAATTCATTTCCTAGCTCTAACAGTTTTATTAGTGGAGTCTTTGAGATTTTTCTATATACATGTCATCTGCAAACAGAGACAATTTTATGTCTTCCTTGCAGATTTGGATGATTTTTATTTATTTTTGTTTCCTATTTTTTCCTAGCCTCTAACTAGGACTTATAGTACTGTGTTAAATAGAAGTGGCAAGAGCAAACATCATTCTCTTGTTCCTGATCTTAGAAGAAAATATTTCAGCTTTCCACCATTACATATGATGTTACCTCTGGCCTTTGTATATATGCCCTCTATTTTGTTGAAGTAGGCTATCTATTAATGCCTCAATTTCAGAACTCATTTTTGGTGTGTTCAGGGATTCAATTTTTTTCCTGGTTCAGTCTTGGGAGTGGGTACGTGTCCAGGAATTCATCCATTTCTTCTAGATTTTCTAGTTTATGTGCATAGAGGTGTTTATAAATTTTTAACAAAATACTGGCAAACTGAATCCAGTAGCACATCAAAAAGTTCATTCATCATGGTCAAGTAGGCATTATCCCTGGAATGCAAGGTTGGTTCAACATACACAGATCAATAAATGTGTTTCATCACACAGATGGAACTAAAGACAAAAACCACATGATTATCTCAATAGATGCAGAAAAGGCATTCAATAAAATTCAACATCCATTCATGTTAAAAACTCTCTATAAACTAGGTATTGAAGAAACATACCTCAAAATAATAAGAGCCATCTATGACAAACCCACAGCCAATATCATACTAAAGGGTCTAAAGCTGGAAGTATTCTCCTTAAAAACTGGAACAAGACAAAGACGCCCTCTCTCACCACTCCTATTCAACATGTATTGGAAGTTCTGTCCCAAACAATCAGGCAAGAGAAAGAAATAAAGGGCATCTAAATAGGAAGAGAGGAAGTCAAACTATCTCTCTTTGCAGATGGCATGATCTTGTATCTAGAAAACTCCATAGCCTCAGCCTAAAATCTTCTTACATTGATAAACAACTTCAGCAAAGTCTCAGGATACAAACTTAATATGCAGAAGTCACCAGCATTTTAATACACCAACAACAGTCAAGCCGAGAGCCAAATCAGGAATGCATTCCCATTCACAATTGCCACAAAAAGAAGAAAATACCTAGGGATAGAGCTAACAAGGGAGGTGAAAGACTCAACAAAGAGAACTACAAACCACTGCTTAAAGGAATTATAGATGACACAAGCAAATGAAAAAAAATTCCATGCTCATGAATAGTAAGAATCAAAATAATTAAAATTACCATATTGCCCAAAGCAATTTACAGAGTCAGTGCTACCATTGACATTCTTCACAGGACTAAAAAAACAAAACTAACTATTTTAAAAATTATATGGAACCCAAATAGAAGCTCAAAAGGCCAAGGCAATCCTAAGAAAAAAGAAAAAAGCTGGAGGCATCACGCGATCTAACTTCAAACTATGGTACTGGGCTACAGTAACCAAAACAGCATAGATCCTGGTACAAAAACAGAGGCATAGACCAATGGAACAGAATAGAGAACCCACAAATAAGACTATACACCTACAATCATCTGATCTTTGAAAAACCTGACAAAAACAAGCAATGGGAAAAATATTCCCTATTTAATAATTGGTGCTGGGAGAACTGGCTAGAGATATGCAGAAAACTCAAATAAAACCAAAAAAGAGCCCATATACTCAAGACAATCCTAAGCAAAAAGAGCAAAGCTGGAGGTATCATTATCATGCTACCTGACTTCAAACTACATTGCATGGTTACAGTAACCAAAAGAGCATGGTAGTGGTACAAAAACAGACACATAGAACAATGGAACAGAACAGACAACCCAGAAATTAGACCAGACCCTACAACTATCTGCTCTTTGACAAACCTGACAAAAACAAACAATGAGTAAAGGATTCCCTATTCAATAAATAGTGCTGGGATAACTGGCTAGCTATATGCAGAAGATTAAAACTGGACCCATTTCTTACACCATATATAAAAATTAATGCAAGATGGATCAAAGACTTAAATGTAAAACCCAAAAACACCCTGGAAAACAACCTAGGTAATACCATTCAGGACATAGGAATGAGCAAATATTTCATGATGAAGATGCGAAAAGTATTTGCAACAAAAGCAAAAATTGACAAATGGAACCTAATTGAACTAACGAGCATCTGCACAGCAAAATAAACTCTCAGCAGAATAAACACACAACCTACGAAATGGGAGAACATTTCTGCAAACTATGCATCTGACAAAGGTCTAATATCCAGCATCTATAAAGAACTGAAAACAAATTTACAAGAAAACAACAAATAACCCCATAAAAATGTAGGCAAAGGGCAAGAACAGATGCTTTTCAAAAGAAGACGTACATGCAGCTGACAATCATATTTAATAAAGCTCAGCATCACTGATCATTAGAGAAATGCAAATCAAAACACAATGAGACACCATCTAACACCAGTTAGAATGGCTATTATTAAAAAGTCAAAAAATTACAGATGCTAGCAAGGTTGCAGAGAAAAAGCACCGATTATACACTGTTGGTAGGTAATGGTAAATTAGTTCAACCATTGTGGAAAACAGTGTGGCATTCCTCAAAGACCTAAAAACAGAAATAGCATTCCACCTAGCCATCTCTATATTAGGTGTATACCCAAAGGAGTGTAAATTGTTCTACAGTGAAGTCACCTGCTTCATTTGTATGTTCATCACAGCACTATTCCCAATAGCGAAGACATGGAATCAACCTAAACGCCCAACAGTGACAGACTTGTTAAAGAAAATGTGGTACATATACGCCATGGAGTACTGTACAGCCACAAAAAACAAAATCATGTTCTTTACAGCAACATAGATGGAGCTGGAGGCTATTATCCTTAGCAAATAAACACAGGAACAGAAAACCAAATACTACATGTCATCACTTATAAGTGAGAGCTGAATGATGGAAACACATGGACACACAGAGGGAAACAACACACACTGGGGCCTCTTAAAGGGTGGAGTGTGGGAGGAGGGAGATGTCAGGAAAAATAACTAATGGGGACTAGTTATGATAATGATGAAATAATGTGTACCACGAACCCCCATGAAACAAGTCCCATGTAACAAACCTGCACAGGTACCCCTGAACTTAAAATACATTAAAACTTTTTTTAAAAAAGATTATCCTTTCCTTTGGACACTTTGTTGATATCAATTGGCTGTAAATGTGTAGGTTTAATTCTGCGCTGTCTGTCACATTCTTTTGGTTGCTGGCTGTTTTTATGCCAGTACCATGCTCTGTTTGTTACCATTGCTTTGTAGAATTTTTAAAGTTCAGTTAGTGTGAGACCTCCAGCTTTCTTTTGCTGAAGATTGCTTTGTCTATTAAGATTTTTTGGTTCCATACAAGTTTCATAGTATTCTCTATTTCTGTGAAAAGAAAATGTCATTGGAATTTTCATAGGGATTGCATTAAATCTGTAGATCACGTTGGCTGGGTGGTTTGACTGAGCACTTAAAAATATTAATTGTTCCAATACATGAATATGAGATATCTTTCTATTTACTTGTATCATCTACAATTTCCTTTATCAGTGTTTTTTAGTTTTCAACATACAGATCTTCCCTGCTTAAATTTATTCCTATTTTTATTTGAACGTTTATTTTAGATTTGGGGTACATGTGCTTGTTTGTTGCATTGGTATATTGCATGATGCTGAGGTTTGGGGGTACAAGTGATCCCATAACCCAGGTGCTGAGCATAGTACCCAGTCTTTGCTCACCTCCCTCCCTTGCCCCTCTGATAATCCCCGGTGTCTGGTCTTCCATCTTAGTGTCCATTTACCCTTAGCTTTTTTGATGTTGTTGCAAATGGGATTGTTTTCTTCATTTGTTTTTCAGATAGTTCACTGTTAGTGTATACAAATTATTTTTTTTCTGTTGCTTTTGTAACCTGAAAGTTCACTGTATTCTAAGTTCTAAAAATTTGCTGGAGGCATCTTTAGAATATTCTATGTGTAAAATGACATCATTAGCAAACAGCAAAAAAAAATTACTTCTTTCTTATTTGGATGCTTTTTGTTTCTTTCTTCTGCTTAATTGCTTTTGCTAAGACCTCCAGGACTACGTTGAATACAAGTGGTGAGAGTGGGCATCTTTGTCGCTTTGTCTTTTCCTGACACTAGAGGAAACACTTTCACCTTTTAACCTTTCAATACAATGGAGGCTCTCGGCTTTTTACATATGACTTGAATTATATGTAGATGCCTTCCTTCTTGGCCTATTTTTTGAATATTTTTATTATGAAAAGATATTGAATTTTTCAAATTCTTTTCCTGCAGCTATTGAGATAATCATATAGTTTTTTAACCTTTGTTCTGTTAATGTGGCAATTACATTTATATACATGCATATTCTGAATCAGCCTTGGATCACAGGGAAAAATCTCACTTGACCATAGTGAATGATCCTCTTAATTTTCTGTTGAATTTGGTTTCCTAGTAATTCATTAGGCACTTTTGAATTTATGTTCATGATGAATATTAAAATCGGATTTTCTAGTTTTAAAGTGTTCTTTTTTGGCTTTGGTGTCAGAATAAAGGTGTCCTCAGAGCATGACTTTGAAAATATTTTATCCTCTTCTGTTTTTTGAAGAGTTTGAGAAGAACCAATGTTACTTCTTTTTTAGATGTTTGGTGGAATTCTACCACAAAAACATCAGTTCTGAGCTGCTTTTTGTTGGAAGAATTTTTAATTACTGATTTAATCTTCTTTCTCATTTTTGGTCTGTTTTGATTTCCTATTTCTTCCTTATTTAGTTCTGGTTAGAAGACATGTGTCTGGGAATTCATCCCTTTCTTCCAGATTATCCAATTTGTGGGTACATAATTTTCCACAGTAATTTCTTGTGATGCTTTGTATTTCTGTGGTATCGGTTGTAATGTCTCCTCTTTCATTTCTCATTTCATTTGTTTGAATCCTCTCTCTCTTTTTTTCTTAGTCTAGCTGAATGTCTATAAATTTTGTTTATCTTTTCAAAAAATTAACTCTGTATTTTAAAGTTTTCTATTGTTTTTGTTTTTTCTCTATTTCAATAATTTCTGCTCTGATCTTTGTTCTTTTCTTCCTTTGGCTAACTTTGGGCTTGGTTTGTTCTTTTTCTAGTTGTCTAACATTATTTTGTTTATTAGAGATATTTTATTAAATGTAGGCATTTATTTTCATAAACTTTCCTCTAAGAATTATGTTTGTTGCAACACATACATTTTGGTATGTGTATATCTCAATTAGTTTCATTTCTTCTAAAGTGTAATTCAAGTCCAGTATTTTCTTACTGATTTTATATCTTGATGAGTTGCCCATTATTAAAATTGGGGTATTAAAAGTCTCCTACTATTATTGTACTGCAGTCTGATTCTCTGAAATATTTGCTTTATCTATTTAAATGCTACAATGTTGAGTGCATATATATTTACAATTGTTATATCCTCTTAATGAATTGACTATCATTTTGCAATGACTTTTATCTTCTTTTCCATTTTTGTCTTAATATCAGTTGCATAGGATATCTCTTCATATCTTCAGTTCCATTCCATATGTATCTTTAAAGTTGAAGTAAGCCTTTTGAAGTAATACATAGTTAGGTCTTTTTTTGGTAAGAGTCATTCAGCCACTCTATGTCTTTTTGTTGGAAACTTTAATCCATTTACATTCAAATTAATTATTGATAAGCAAAACTAGTGCCATTTTGTTCATTTGGAAGGGGGATGCTTTGCAGATTCTTTGTTCCTTTCCTCCTCTCTTCTTTTCTTCCTCTGTGTTTTGATAGTTTTCTACAGTGATATGCTTGGAATCCTTTCTAAAAATATTTTTTGTGTGTTTACTATAGGATCTTTATTTGTGGATACCCTGAGGCATAGTATTCCATGGTGTACAAGCACCACATTTTCTTTATTCAATCCACCATTGATGGGCCCCTAGATCGATTCTTTGGCTTTGCTAATGTAAATAGTGCTGCAATGAGCATACATGTGCATGTGTCTTTTTGGTAAAATGATATATTTTCCTTTGGGTATACACCTAGTTATGGGATTGCTGGTAATGGCATTCCCACCAACGATGTATAAGAAGTATTTCCTTTTCACTGAAACCTCCCCAGCATCTGGTATTTTTTGACTTTTTAGTGATGGCCATTCTCACTGGTGTGAGATGGTATCTCATTGTGGGTTTGATATACATTTCTCTGAAAATTAGTGATGTTTAGCAATTTTTCATTTGTAAGTCTTCTTGAGAAGTGTCTGTTCATGTCTTTTGTAAAGGGTATTTTATCTGTTCTTTTCCCTCTTTAAAATGTTCTCAATACTTTGTTTTGTTGTCTTACTTGCTAAATGTCTATATTCAAATCTCATTTCCTCCAAGAGAAATCAATGTCTTTTCTGACCACTAGCAATATTACTTCTTTTAGCCCAGAGTATTTCTTTCTGATGTTAAGATACATTCTGAGTTTTGTTCAGATAGTTTCAGAAACTGAAAAGAAATTAAATATTTTCAGAAATATTTACAAAGTAATGATACTTTACTAACCAGTCTATCATCTGGTTAAAACAATTTACTAACCAGTCTATCATCTGGGTAATCAATCTCTTGCCCAAAAGTACAATTTTGCACTCACTTCCCATAACCACATTACACATGAGCTTTATTTATCAACAAAGACAAAGGCAGGATCAAGAGATCTTAAATACTCAAGTCAAAAAAAATATTTTCTACTGACATAAGAATATTTTATCACATAGGGATATCTGTATCATGTTTTACAGGTATAAATCGTGGGCAAAATATCTCTCTCTTTTTTATCAAAACACTCAACATCTTATGCTCTCTGGTTTGAGTTCCATCCAGTGTCTCCGGATTTATTTTTTATTTCTTTTAATTTTTTTATTGGCACTTGGTTGATATCCTCATTTCTCTTTTAGCTACTCCAAAACTTATTAATTTGTCTTCTTGCCTTTGGTATTTCAACATGTCTTTCATATCTCTCCACAATACCAATTCATGCTGAAAAAAATCAGAAGAACTCTTTCATATAAGAAGACGATTGGAGAGGGGAACAAGGAAATGTGCAAAACAAAGATTTTTATCTTTATTTGTGAACAGTGTTCTATGAATATAATTATATTGATCAGTTCATTCTCATGTTGGTGAGCTGTTTCCAGTTTGGAGCTATTATGAATGAACCTCCTATAAAAATTCTTTTTTTAAGTACTTTTGTCAACATGTTGTCTATTTTTTGTGTTTTTCATCGTCTAAGAGTTGAATTGCTCAAAGGAAAGACCTATATTTAACTTATAAGAAATCAGCAGACTATTTTTCAAATTGATTGTACAATTTACCTTACCTGGGAATATATGTGAGAACCCTGGCTTCTCTACCTTTTAACAATATTTGCTATTATTATTTTTAAAGTATTAGCTATCGTGGTTATGTGGAATTAAATATCAACTTGGTTTCAATTTGCATTTTCCTAATGAGGAATGCTGTTGACTACGTTTTGCATGTGCTTGTGGGCCATTTATGTATCTTCATTACATTTGTTAAGGGATCGTGTGAGACATTCACTCATTTTTATTTTATTGTCATTCCATTACTTGTTAACTCTTTCTACTAGTCTTTTAAAATAATGTTTAATTTATCACCTTTTTATTTATGGCTTTCTTTTCTTGGCCTTGTTGGACAGATATTTTTCCTACCCCACATCATGAAGACAGTCCCCTATGTTCTTGTTTGTTTGATAAAATACGTAGACTTTAACTCTTGAATGAGATGCATAACTTACCTCAAATTAAGTTTGTGAATGTTAGTAGGTAGAGGGCAACATACAAATTGTATATGAATATATTGTTGTTCCATCATCATTGGTTTAAAAAAATCTTAATTCTCCTGATGAAATTACTTGGGATGTCTGTCAAATAAATCTTAAAATACTTTTTGTTAATTTTTATTAAGTAGTGTACTGAAATTAAATTGGAACTGGTTAAATCTATAGATTGTTAAATTGAATATATAAAGGTTAAATTGAAATTCATTCAATTCATGTACTTCTTAAATTTCTATCAGCTAACTTTTATAATTTTTGGTATAGAAATCATACACAACATAAAAAAATACTAAGTATTTTATCTATTTTTGATACAAATGTAAATTAAAATTTAATTTTTTACTGCTAATATTACTTATTTAAAATTTTAACTCTTAATCATTAAATATCTCTAATATCACATATATATTTCAATGTATATAATTATAAAGTAACACTTCTTCCTTGTCAATTTGTGTGGCTTGTACTAAATTGTATTAATTTTTCTTTATTTAAGATGTCTTTATTTCCTCTTTATTCTTCAATAATATGTTCTCTGGAATCAAAATCAAGATTTACATTTCTTTTATTTCTACACTTGAGAGATATGGTGTCAGTTCTTCCTGGTTTCCATGATTTCCATAGTTCCCACTGTTTTCATGAAATCCACTGTTAAGCAATTTATCCCCTTTATATAAAGTGTCATTTTTTTGTTGTTACTTTCTTTGTTGTATTTAGTTTTTAGAAATTTGATTATGATATGTTGTAGTGTAGATTTCCCAGGTGTTTTCTTGTTTGATGTTCTCTAGTTTGGTGGCTACCTTGTTGAATCTATAGGTTTTTTTATTTACACTTAACTAAATTTGAGAAGTTGTCAGCCATTATTTTCTTAAATTACTTTTGACTTTTTTAGCCTCTACTATTTCTATTCTTTTTTGAGGCTCTGATGACATGGATATGAGGTCTTTTGTTTTAGTTCCACAAAACTTCTGAGTCTCTGTTCATTTGTTTTTTCAGTTTACTTTTTATCTTTCTTTTATTGATTAATGAAAGAAAAAATACCTATTGTGCTATCTTCATGTTCACTGATTATTTTCTATATTATTACCATTTAGTAGTTTAGCTCAGCCAATATATATATTTTTAATTTTGGGTGATATATCTTGCAGTTCTAAGATATCCATTTCATTCTGTTTTCAACCTTTTCTTTCTTTATTGGCATGCTTTATTTCTTTGTTGAGGCTTCCTATTTATTTATTTCAGCTGTGTTTAAAATTAATCACTTTGTCATTTTTATGATATCTCTATTAAAATCCTTGTCAGAGAAATTGAACACCTATGTTTTCACTATCAACCTCTCTTAGTCATGATTTTCAGGTTGTCATTTTCTTATTATTTGTATAAGAAGCTATTTTCAATTGTATGCTGAGCATTTCGGTTATTGCGCTTTTAACTTTGGATCTTATTTAAACCTTCTATTTTACTCAATCTTCTCTGACACCTTACTGGTGGAGGAAGAGAGCTGTCACATGGTTACAGCCTGGCAGGAATGCAAGCCCAGGTTTTCCACACGGTCTCATTTGACACCTTGTGGCAGAGAGGCACCTCACAACTGTTCCTCAGATGGTCTCCACTCACACTTCTAGAGGTGGCCTTTTAACCAACCAGGGGGGAATGAAGCGTGTATATTAATAATGGACACTGATATGTATTATTTAGTGTAATTTCTCATACCATGATATCAATGTTTTGTTAGTTAAATAACATGAGTTGGGATATGTTCCTTCCTATTCCATGTTCTTAAATGGTTGTGTAATAGCAGTAGTTTTATTTTCCGTTATATAACTGATTGAGTATACTACTGAAACCATACAGACCAAGATTTTTTTGTTACTAAATATTTCGATAAATTACGTGATTATTATCATTATTTTTTGTGTGTTTGTTTTAGGCTTTTCATTGTTATTTTTTTCTTTTTCTCTTCTTTTTATCTAGAAGTTTTTAGCCTAATTGAAAAAAAAACCTCAAAGTTAATGGAAAAAGTAAACAAGTCTGAAAAAGTGAAAAAGAACATACAGTACAGTCCAAAACAAAATACATTGCACTTAATTCTACAATTATATTTAAAAATTTTTAAATAAACATTTTGCTTAAACCAAATAACAAAATAAATAAAAATAAATATATGAAAATCTATACAAGATGTTTATGCTTGATTCCATAAAATTTGCTTAGAAATATTATAGAAAAATTAATATGTAGATAAATAACATGTTTTGACTGAAACATAATACACTTAAAAACCACAAATGTCTCTAAATTGATCTGTGTTCTAATATAAATATTAAATCTATAAAGCTCTAAAAAAGAAGATGCCTTATAATCCTTTGGGTATATACCTAGTAATGGGATGGCTGGGTCAAATGGTATTTCTAGTTCTAGATCCTTGAGGAATCGCCACATTGTCTTCCACAATGGTTGAACTAGTTTACAGTGCCACCAACAGTGTAAAAGTGTTCCTATTTCTCCACATCCTCACCAGCACCTGTTGTTTCCTGACTCTTTAATGATCGCCATTCTAACTGGTGTGAGATGGTATCTCATTGTGGTTTTGATTTGCGTTTCTCTGATGGCCAGTTATGATGAGCATTTTTTCATGTGTCTTTTGGCTGCAAAAATGTCTTCTTTTAAGAAGTGTCTCTTCATATCCTTCGCCCACTTTTTGATGGGGTTGTTTGTTTGTTTTTTGTAAATTTGTTTGAGTTCTTTGTAGATTCTGGATATTAGCCCTTTGTCAGATGAGTAAATTGCAAAATTTTTTTCCCATTCTGCAGGTTGCCTATTCACTCTGATGGTAGTTTCTTTTGCTGTGCAAAAGCTCTTTAGCTTAATTAGATCCCATTTGTCAATTTTGTCTTTTGTTGCCATTGCTTTTGGTGTTTTAGACATGAAGTCCTTGCCCATGCCTATGTCCTGAATGGTATTGCCTAGATTTTCTTCTAGGGTTTTTATGGTTTTAGGTCTAACATTTAAGTCTCTATCTTGAATTAATTTTTGTATAAGGTGTAAGGAAGGGATCCAGTTTCAGCTTTCTACATACGGCTAGCCAGTTTTCCCAGCACCTATATACCCAAGGATTATAAATCATGCTGCTATAAAGACACATGCACACATATGTTTATTGAGGCAGTATTCACAACAGCAAAGACTTGGAACCAACACAAATTTCCAGCAATGATGGACTGGATTAAGATAATGTGGCACATATATACCATGGAATACTATGCAGCCATAAAAAAGGATGAGTTCACGTCCTTTGTAGGGACACGGATGAAGCTGGAAACCATCATTCTCAGCAAACTATCGCAAGGACAAAAAACCAAACACAGCATGTTCTCACTCATAGGTGGGAATTGAACAATGAGAACACTTGGACACAGAAAGGGGAACATCACACACCGGGGCCTGTTGTGGGGTGGGGGAAGCGGGGAGGGATAGCACTAGGAGATATACCTAATGTAAATGATGAGTTAATGAGTGCAGCACACCAACATGACACATGTATGCATATGTAACAAACCTGCACGTTGTGCACATGTACCCTAGAACTTAAAGAATAATTTTAAAGAAAAAGTGAAAGAAGCCAGACATAAAAGCTCATATCTTTTATGATTCCGTTTACATAAAATATCTACAGTAGATAAATCCAGAGAGACCAAATGCAGATTGGCAGTTGCTAGGGGCTGAAATGGGGAGAAAAACTGCTTAATGGATGAGGGGTTTTACTTTGGAGTGATGGAAGTGTTTTGGAGTTAGTGATGATGGTCGTACAACATTGCGAATGTAGTAAATGCCACTGAGTTGTTCACATTAAAATGCTAATTTCATGTTAAAAAAATAGATGCCATCCTTTCATTCTTGAAGTATATAATTTTTATAGAGATAATACATAAGAAACACCCACTAATCGTAGAAAACAAAATTATATATTGGACTTTACAAAAATCAAAATCTCTGCTCTGAAAAATATACCATTAAAATAACAAACAGGCTAGCCAAAAAGCAGGAAAAAATATTTATAGTACAGATGTTTGACAAAATACTTTTGTCCAGAATAAATAAAAAATTTAAAACTGAGTAAAATAAATAAAAACAAAAACATTTTGGCCAAAGATATAAAGATACTCTTCTTAAAATTACATATATCAATGACTGGTCAGCATCTAAGAAGGCACTGAACTTCATTATTCTCTAGGTAATGGCATATTTTAAAATGACATAAAGATACCACCACTAGAAGGGTTAAAATTAAAAATATTCAAATGCCAAATGCTAGTTGTTTTAGTTTTCTCCTGTATATTAGGCTTAATTTTCTGGTTAGAATATTTTATCCTTACAAAATTTTATAGGCTTAGTTTACCATTTTTAGCTCAACATGTTCTAAAATAATTTCTCTGATGGTGAATGAACCTGGTATGAGTAATGAAATTTCCATGACTACATTTACTTGTGTAAATTTCACCCATTCTAAGAGAAGATTTTTTTAGATGGTATAAATGACAGAATTTGTGCAGTTCTGCTCCTTTCTCACCCTAACACTGGGTAAGGAGATAAAATTAACAAGAGTAGCAAACAAAAGTATCAAACAGATGACACTCTCTCCTTTCATCCTCAAGTCTTCCAAGGAGAAAAGAGTTACTGAATAACCTTCTCTTGAGACATAGGCTCAGGATCTGCATGCACTGGTTAAGGTACTATCTTAAATATATTACTGCTTTGGAACCTGAAGCTCTAGATGAAGCAGAAAACTCCTTTCATTTGTTCTAAAACAAGTCCCTTTTGAAATTCAGGATGGCCAGAAATGGCAGGTTAACTTTCAGACACTTATATTGAAGATACACTGTCCCTGGAAGCTCTTAGTTATGTCCCACTGTGTGTTTAAAACTTATATTATTTCTTAAGTGTGTTTTACATACAGGAAATATAGCCTTTATCATAAAACTCTCTAAGACGATTTGATATCCAGTCTCTGGTTACAATTTGGCTTTGATAACCACAGCTTTCTGCCATCACTATCTAGCTTGTGTCTTTATTAATAGAATAGTCTTCTTTTTTTTTGTTTTGCAAACCCCAGATCTTTAGAAGGTGTCCCAAATTTTTCAACAGAAATACCTCTAATTACCTATGTCTTGGCAGAAGTAAGGTGGTGACACAATAATGTATAAGGTTGTTGAGTGTTACTCAGTTTTGATAATTCATTGTTAGTAACTGTCAAGATTCAGCATGATTATGCAATTCAGAGTTCATATCGATGGAGGTATGTCAATAAGTCAAGGTAACCTTAAAGCAGGTGTAGAAAACAGAACTTAGTTGTAGTTTAAAACAATTTTCCAATTCAATTACAATGAGGCCCTGGAAAAAAAAATACTTAAATGAAAGGTTACATAAATTAAAAAAGGCTTACGTTTAAACACCAAATAGACTGTTGAAAAAATACAAAAAAATTGTGGCAATATAGCAGTTACATTTGAGTTGTGGACTTTCCCTTTTGTCATGCATCTATATTTTAAAATATAACATAAAAATAATATTTTTCTTTGGTGGAGTCCTCATATTTAGTTTTTAATTGTAGAGCATACACCTATGAAATAACACTCAAAATACATTATTGAACAGAAATAAACTATTCCAGGTTAAGGAACAAGCTCTGGAGTCACTTCTTATTATTTCCGTGCTGTGTGAAATTGGGAACAATATTTACCTTTCCATGCATTAATTTCTTTTTTTAGAAAGTAGGAGATATTGTCAACAGTACTTATATCATGGGGTTGTTGTAGGATACAAAGTAATCCATAGATACTACTTCACTTGAAGAAAAGTACATAAATGCTAAAAATGGTATCTCTCAATACAATTAGCTCACTTAATTCTTAAAAATATCCTATTATATCAATGCAAAAACTTAATTTTCTCTGCATGAATTGCTAAAGGGAGAGAATAACAATGTGTTAAAATATTAATAAATTCAGGAACTTAGACTCATTTGACATTAGATCATCTTGACCTGTGGGCCTCATTTTGCTGGTGTTTTATGTTTACACACGTCCCCAGCCACCGTTTCAGGGCTCCCTTCACCTCACTGTTCTTCACACTGTAGATGAGGGGGTTTAGTAAAGGGGTGAACATAGTATAGAAGGCTGACACAACCTTGTCATGGTTAGTGGACCTATGGGATTTGGGTCTCATATAGGTAAAAATGGCAGCTCCATAAAAGAGTCCCACCACAGCCACATGTGAAGAGCAGGTGGCAAAGGCCTTCTTGCGGGCTTCTGTAGAGCGCATGTGCAGAACAGCAGCGAGGATGAGACCATAGGAGGACAGGATGAGGGAAAAGGGGACCAGGAGCATTAACACACAGCAGATGTACATGGCGTTTTCGAAGACTGAAGTGTCAGCACAAGCCAAACGCACCAGCACGGGGGTCTCGCAGAAGAAGTGATCGATCTCGTGTGCACCACAATATGGGAAGCTCAGGGTAACAACAGCCTGCAGGAGCCCGTCAGCTGCACCCAGGAGCCAACACGACATGGTCATCCTCAGGCACAGCTGCCAGCTCATGAGAGTGGGATATCGGAGTGGGTGGCAGACAGCCGCATAGCGGTCATAGGCCATGGCTGCTAAGAGGAAGCACTCTCCACCACCCAGTGTGGGGAGGAAGAAGATCTGCACACCACAGCCAGCGCGGGAGATGGCCTTACTTCCGGTCAAGTAGTCAGCCGCCATTTTGGGCACAGTGGTGGAAACCAGCATCATGTCCATGAGGGAAAGTTGGCTCAGGAGGAAGTACATGGGCGTGTGGAGCCGGTGGTCCCAGTGAATCAGGAGAATCATGAGGGAATTGCCAAACAGGGAGGTCAAAACGATACTCAGAACCATCATGAAGAGGACTTGGTGGGCTCTGGTGTGGTTAAAGAGTCCTAGGAGAATAAAATCTGGGGTAGTATTTCTCATCTCCATAATTTCCCCTGGTGTGATGGTGCAAATGGAAAAATAGAGAAGGAAGAGGCTTTTATGGTCTGAATAACTGTTTGACTGCACAGTTTCCGGACATACGTACTGGGTATGTTATCCCAGGTAGTGATTCAAAGCCCTAACTCCCAGTGAGCATGGCTTTTCCTGACCTGGCATTCACTTCTCTGTAGCTCAACTTTTTAATGTTTTAACTGAGATCGTGTACTACAAACAGGAGTATATTTACAGATCAAAATGAATAAAAATATTTTTTCAACTCTCAAGAATTAGTGGTAAAGTGTTATGATTTTTATATTACTCGTATTAATATTATTGTGTTTTTGTTATGTATACTGATGGAAAAAGGAAGGAAACACTGACTTAAAAGTGTCTCATTTAGATTTGAGTCACAGTTTATTTATATTCAACTTTTGGAAACCCAAACATATTCAAGATAGGTCTTTTAAAAACTAAACAAGAAGTTACAGTTGCTTTATTTTAGGTTACACAAGGACCACATAATGGAATATGTGAGTGTAAATAAAACATTTTTTCCTTTGAAGAACAATAATATCTCACACAACTGATGAAATTTTTTTCCTTCCTCCCACTACATACCTTCTTAGTTGTCTTACTGTTAAATGCAGTCATTCTAGTTTACCTCCTCCTGCTTTGAAACCTTTAGCATCTGCCCTTCACTCTTCAAATAAAATTCAGAATTCTATCCCACACTTACAGTGGCTTGTAGACATGCCTCACACAACATTTTGCCATGCAGTATACTGCCATGGAGACCTAGAAAGGCTGGGTGAATATGAGAGGGAAGCATGAGAGAATCTTTGATATTGATAAATGCTGGGGGAGAGTAGTAGTAACTATAATGAGTAAGTAGTACTTCGAGTAAGAAAAGGATAGGAAACAGCTTAAAAATGGTTGAGTGTTGCTATTGGTCACAGACAAGTTATCGAAAAGATTTGCAAATTAAAAAGCCACTATTATTGTAAATACTTAAATTGATATTTGGCCTGTCTGTTTCAGATTTTTAAAATATTTAACAAAATCGATTTATTTTCTTAGGAGACACAATCAAAGTAACTGAGCTAACAAAAATGTGTACAACTTCATTTAGAAAGCTTTTGCAGGTTGAGGACTGTTACATATTGAACATAAAAAAAAGTTTTTTAGTGTTTACCATTTTTAAACTCCATACAAAGAAGAGAACTTGTCAACTCATAAAGAGAAGAGCACAAAGAGGCAAAGAGCTAATTTCCCACTTTTATTCATAGAATATTCGCAAATGTCATGCCTTTGTATATTTGCAGGATTTTAGACCTCATCTCATACACAGATGGTCTCATTCAGGGCCTTCAGAAAGGCAGTGCCAATGACTGGTTAAATTACTACATCCACTATATGAGCATTCAGATGTGAGCAGACACAAACACACAGTAACACCAGCGTCTTTGAGATGGCTTATTTAAGCATTGGCTATCAGGGAAATAAACAAAGATTATAGGACAATAAAACAGGCAAAATAGGCAAAGACACTACATGTGCCAAGCCTGTGCCAAGCCTTGTTGGTTGCATTACTGTCTTCCTATGTAGTGTATGCAGTCCCTTTATTTTACATACTATTTAAAGTATCTTTCTCATGTGATTGCCACAGCCCACTGACTCCTTGACCACAGGCTTCCACTGCCTCCATTATAACTTTAAACCACCATCAGACTCCTTTTATTAATGCAGAATGCATGGATAAAGGAGGGCAGGACTTGATATTAAAAAGTCCTTGTTTAAAAATCACTGTTGTCCAAACCACCATCGCGCGTGTATACCTGTGTAATGAACCTGCATGTTTGGCACATGTATCCCAGAACTCAGAGTAAAATAAAATAGAATAATAAAATAGAGTGTGCAGAGAAGCACCAAAAAAAAAAAAATCACCTGTGTCTAGTCAGCTTTTTCCAGATTACAGTAGGTGTACCATTGCTGGTATGTGTCATGATTTTAGGAAGTATGTGAAATAACATTTTCTACCTGAAAAGTTACATGACTTTTATTTGTGCTAAGAAAAAGGTAAACATTAAATCATGGGAAAAAAGAATCATTTCTGTCATTTTATATTATGATATAAGGGGAAAGTTACTTAACATTTTTGTTTTCTTTTGTTTTGTTTACTCATATGTTTTTAAATCAGCGGTCCCCAACATTTTCCACAGATGGGGGTTGTAGGAGAGGGGATGGTTTCGGGATGATACTGTTTCACCTCGGATCATCAGGCATTAGATTCTCATAAAAAGCATGTGATATAGATCCCTCACACGTGCAGTTCACAATAGGACTCACACTCTTATGAGAACCTAATGCTGCTGCTGATCTGAAGGAGGCAGAGCTCAGTGGGTAATGCTCCTTCACCTGACGCTCACCTCCTATGCAGCCCAGGTCCTAACAGGCCACAGATCAATACTGAACTTTCTAAAAAGATTACTAAAAAGAAATTACATGATTTTTGCATATAACAGAGTTTGAAAATAGTTTTTTTAATGTCATATTGCACACCAAAACAAAATTTTAATTTTTAATTTAATTTATTAGTTTAGTTCATTTTATGGTGCCATATTTTGACGTATTCAGAAGCTTGACAATCACAGCATAAAATATTAATTAGATTATTGAACTGAAGGCTATGGTGACATGATGGTGAAAGTCTAAGATCTGAAAATTCTTAGATTCTCTAAATGCTTATACTTTTTCATTCTGAATGGTTATACTTATTCAAAATTGAATTCTCTTCTCTACAGACAGAGGTAAAGAGTAAACATCACTTTAATTTGGAACCATTGTTTTTTTCTTTAACATTAAAAGTTAACAAAAATAAATAAACCAGCATCATCCTAAGCTGTGAAAAATTATGATGTATAATATTGTTATAGATGAGACTTTTCAGCACATTGTATCAGTCAGATAATTTAATAGAAAATTTGGTTTAACTGTAGTAATTCTTCTTTCAGGTATACAGAGCTATTGCAGCTTGACTGTTTTTACTAATTACCATCCAATGTATTTTTTGAATAAAGGATTTTTTGGCATTGTAAATATACAGCTATATTTATTTGTCAAGTGGACCATTAATCCATCAACTAAAGGCTATATTAACTCAGCAAATTATAATAATGTGAACAGATGCTTATAAATATTTCTTCTTCAAGTCAATTCATGGGCTGTTATTAATTCTAAGCTATTAAATAGGATAGCTGGACTTAAAACATTCTAATATTTTTATATTTTATGTATAAAATATATATTTATATATTTTTCTACATATATTTATATATATTTCTAGTATGTATATTTATATTTACTTCTATTTGTCTTTCTTAGCTCTTCTAGGCAATTTCTTTAGATGTAGGTGAGGAATGTTGTGTCTATTAACTTCAAAACCATGCCCTTTCTGAAGCTGGTAGGTAAACTGATTATCATCCCCTTCCCCACATTCATACTTACTTGAAAACAGACACAGATCACTGTTCTGGAACAATAGAGTTCCACTCAACAATCTTATTTTCTCTTCTTTCTGACATCCTACCCTCCACAAAGGCAGTGTCTGTATGTCCACAAGCTATTGATATAACATGGGGAAAATATTGAAACAGCCACACTGTTCAGTAGAAAAGAATCCTCTAATACAAATTCAATCATTTGACTTAATTAACAACTTTATTCAAGAATTTTTGGCTTTTTGGTTCTGGGTAGACACAGACTGCATCTTACATATTCAAAACACCCCGTGGATGACAGGAAAACATTTACTTTGTGTGATTTGTCCCTCAACTTTACAAAGGTTACTTTACAATTCAAAATTCATATGTAGAATGCCAAATACATAATAAATATGAGTAATTTGAAATTACTGCCTAAAGTAAAGGAAAAATAATTCTCAAACAAATTAGACTCACCTTTGTAGTGGAGAATCACAGCCAGTGTGACATATATATGGGACTGAATCTTTCTGATGGTTTGAGTACAAATGTTTGCTTAATCTTAGTGTTGTGGATACTGCTTTGTGCCTCTGGTCTCATGCTCTATTTAGTTAAAAATCCTATGTGGTCACTGAAAGTTTCCAACAACCAAATATCTTCCCTGGAGCTATGCCACTTGGAAAGGTAAATCACCTTTGGCAAGGGAATACAGATTTCAGTATTTCCTAAGGGTGAATATATGTAGTGAACTAATTTAGCATCCAAGTTTTGGTAAAAGCAAAACGACTGTGATTGGGAAGATGAACAGATATGTCCCTGGCTAAGGATAGCAAGTGCAATGAATTAGTAAAGACAAAATCCAGAATTCTGATCATTGACAATCCCTGAACTGAATAAATATGACTTAATTACCTGAAATAAGTTTTTAATTTTCTGTAATTGTATCATGATAATAATAATATATTTCATTTATTGAACATTTCTACATGCTAGTGAATATGCTCGGCATTTTACATGCATTTACATGCGTGTTATTTAATCTTTTAATTAGCTGTTTGTTCTGTGAACTTCTACATTAATATAGCAATGTAAACAATGCTAACGGTTTTAAATACCATATTTATATTAACTGTCATGAGGTAGCAGAGTGAAAGAACTTTGATGTTCACATCATAGATTTGTGGTTCTTAAAGGTTGAGGAACATCTGAATCATTCAGAATACTTATGGATTACACTTTGAGAAATACTGCCTTTTATAAAAAAATCTGAAGGGGAATTTCAACTATTTTGAACTGGGTCACAATGCTTTGATAGCCTATAAACTAATCAATTCCCAACTTTGCATGTTTAAATGTTTAAATGTTTTTGTGTTTTGTTTTGAATCTAGCTTCTATTCCTTACCCATTTCATGATTTTTGGATAACATGATCTTCATGTTCCTTTCCTATAAAAGATGCATAATAAAATTGCTTGCTTTGTAGCATTATTGAAAGGAATAAATAAAATACTTGTAAACCACCTGGGAGACTATCTGGCCCATAGTATATTCTCTATCCATGTTCATTGATATCATTATTGTGATTGTTCTGAAAGAAAAAAAAATCCCTCTAAGGCAGAGTAATGTTGATTCTGGTCTAAATATTATAAAAACTTATCTAAAAGAAAATAAGATAAGGACAGGGTAGCCTGTTCTTTTGGTGTTTAATAGTTCTGCCCAAAGACTATTTAGTGCTCTGGGTGAATGCTTCTGTGTTTGATTTGCCATTTACCATAAATTACGGTCCAGAATCTGTGACGTTGTTATGTCAAGCAGACATGTAAAGAATTTCTGTCCGTGCCAAGTAAGACATAAACCAGTTTTATAATAATTGGAAACAAAACAAAAATAGCGAAACTTTTTTTTCTTTTGAAATCAAATTCACAGTGTCTTTTCCAATACTACTTCTCCAACTCTCACACCAACTAAGTGTCTTACTATTTAATTTAGTCCTGACACTTACTGCAGTCTGGAGCATCAGACTCCAGATGTCGCAGAAATCAATCCCACAAGACTGCCTTCCCTTCAGACGTCAGTCTCAAGTAGGGGGTATCCAGGTTACTTCTACCTGATTTGGATACAAAGTTGGAGGTTCTCACAACCACTCTGCTTCAGGTTATATAACTGGCTAGAATGAAGCATGAAAATAAAGAAAATGCTACACTCACTATTATAGTTTATTATAAGGGATACAAATGAAGAGTCAGATGAAGAGGTACATCTGGGAAGTTCCAGAAGAATCCCAAGCCCGCGAGCTCCTGTCTGTGGAGTTGGGGTCTGCAATCCTCTGGGCAAGTAAATGTGTTTGCCAACTCAGAAGCTCCCTGAACCCTTTCATTATGGGTTTTATGGTGGTTTCATTATATAGACATTAATGTGGCTATTGGTAATTGACTCAATCTACAGCCCCCACCTCCCCAGAAGTTGGGTAATGGGGCATGAGATGAAGCGGGGACCCCTCTTAGTGACCTGCAAGTTCCTCCAAGTACAGAGATAAAGGAAAAGCTTAAGTTCCTTCAGGGAAATTCCAGGCACCTAGCTAGTACTGAGAAATAAACAAGCAACTTCATAAGTAAGAAGGTAATAATTGCCTAATGCAATAGCCAAGGAAGTTAAAAATCACAGAATGTTTAGTTCCATTATAAAAACTAAAATAACATCTTTCCATATGTTCATGAGTTGTTTTTCAGAAACCTGGAACCCCACTAAATAGATCTACTGGCACATAGACCTCAGATAAGGAGGAACTGAGGACAGAACTCAGACCACCACTTTTTCTTCTGAATTTCTTCCTGAGAGGCCTGGAGGAAGTCACACCCATGGATGAGAGCTAAAATTCTTTTCTGCTGATTCCAATTTTTTAGACAAAACTTTGCCTCGTTAACCAATCACAAATCAGAAAATGTTTGACTCTACCTAAGATGTGTGGGCCCTGACTTTGAGATGTCCCATATTTTCAGGTTAAGCCCATATATAATGTCAATATACTGATTTATGACTTTGCCTGTAACCTCTGTCTCCCTGCCTTTAAAAACTTACCTGTAAGCCATCCATCAGAGAGTTCAGATCTTAAGCATTAGCTGCCCACTTCTCCTTGCTTGGCCCCCTGTAATAAATTCCTCCTTTTCTTTTGCGGCAATCTGCATGTCGGCATTTGACTTTGCTGTATCAGGCAGGCTGACTTGAGTTTCGTTTGGTAACATCTCTGTGGACTTGGGGTGTGCCACTCTCAGGGTATGTAAATGTGTTTGCTGACACAGAAGCTCCCTGAACCCTTTCGTTTAGTATGTTTTTTAATTTCTAGTTTTTGGGGTATATGTGCAAATTTGTCATACAGGTAAATTGTAGGTCACAGAGGTTTCATGTACAGATTATTTTGTCATGCAGGTAATAAGCATAGTACCCAGTAGGTGGTTTCTCATTGTCTCTCACCTTCCACCCTCAAGTAGGCCCCGGTGTCTGTTGTTCCTGTCTGTGTGTCCATGTGTACTTAATGTTTAGCTCCCACTTATAAGTGAGAACATGCAGTATTTGGTTTGTAGTTCCTTTGTTGCTTTGCTTAGACTAATGGCCTCCACTTCTCCCATGTTGCTGCAAAGGACATAATCTCAGTCTTTTTATGGATGCATAGTATTTCGTGGTGTATATGTACTACATTTTTGTTATCCAGTCTACTATTGATGGGCATGGAGGTGGATTCCATGTCTTCACTACTGTGAATAGTGCTGGAATGAACATACATGTGCAGGTTATTTTACTATAGAACAATGTATACTCCTTTGGGTATACAAGTAATATTGAGATGGGTGGGTCGAATGGTAGTTCAGTTTTAAGTTCTTTGAGAAATCACAAAGCTGCTTTCCACAATGGTTGAACTAATCTACATTCCTACCAAGGGTGTATAAGCGTTCCCTTTTCTCTGCAACCTCACCATCATTTGTTATTTTTAGATTTTTTAATAATATCCATTCTTACTGGTATGAGATGATATCTCATTGCGGTTTTGTTGTGCATTTCTCTAACGATTAGTGATGTTGAGCACTTTTCCATATGCTTATTGGCAACATGAATGTCATCTTTTGAAAAGGGTCTATTCATGTCCTTTGCCCACTTTTTATTGGAGTTGTTTGTTTTCTGTTAATTTGATTAAATTTCTTGTAGATTCTGGATAGTAAATTTTGTTGCATGCATATTTGCAAATATTTTATCCCATTCTGTAGTTTGTGTTTTCTCCTTTAATAATTTCTTTTTTGCTGCAAGGGCTCTTTAATTTAATTAGGTTCCACTTGTTAATTTATGGTTTTTTTTTGTTGCAATCAATTTTGGCATCTTCGTTGTAAAATCTTTGCCAGGTCCTATATCCAGAATGGCATTTCCTAAATTAGTTTTCAGAGTATTTATAGTTTTATGTTTTACATTTAAGTCTTTAGTCCATCTAAAGTTGACTTTTGTATGTGATTTGAGGAAGGGTTCCAGTTACAATCTTCTGCATTTGACTAGACAGTTATCCCAGCACCATTTTTTGAACAGGAAGTCATTTCTCTATTGATTATCTTGGTAGACTTTGGTGAAAATCACATGGCTGTAGGTGTACGGCATTATTTCTGGGCTCTCCATTCTGTTCCATTGGTCTATGTGTCTGTTGTTGTACCAGTAACATGCTGTTTTGATTATTGTAGCCTTGTAGTATAGTTTGAAGTCAGGTAGTGCAATGCCTCCAGCTTTGTTCTTTTGGCTTAGGATTGCTTTGGCTATTTGGGTTGTTTTTTGATTCCATATGAATTTTAAAATTGTTTTCTCTAATTATGTGAGGAATGTCATTGGTAGTTTGACCTAGGAATACTATTGAATCTGTAAATTGCTTTGGGCAGTAGGGCCATTTTAACAATATTGATTTTTTCCTATCCATGAACATGGAAAGTTTTTCCATTTGTGTGTGTCATCTCCAATTTCTTTGATCAGTGTTTTATATCTCTCATTGTAGAGACCTTTCACTACCCTGGTTAGCTGTATTCTTGTCATGGTCCTTGTGAATGGGATTGAGTTCCTGGTTTGACTCTTACCTTAGCTGCTATTGGTGTATGGAAATGCCACTGTTTTTTGTACATTGATTTTGTATGCTGAAACTTTGCTGAAGTTTATCAGATCAGGGATATTTTGGACAAAGGCTATGGGGTTTTCCAGATATAGAATGTTATCATCTATGAAGAGAGATATGTTGACTTCCTCTCTTCCTGTTTAAATGTTTTTCATTTTTTTCTCTTGCCTAATTGCTCTGGTTAGGACTTCCAGAATTATGTTGAATAAATGTGATGAGAAAGGGTATCCTTGTCTTGTTTAAGTTTTCAAAGAGAATGCTTCCAGGTTTTGACTATCCAGTATGATGTTGGCTATGGAGTTGTTGTATATGGCTTTTATTATTTTTGAATATGTTTCTTTAATGCCCAGTTTGCTGAGGAATTTTAACATGAAGGTATGTTATGCTGAATATCCAAGGCCTTTTTTGCATCTTTTGAGATGACTATGTGGCTTTTATGTGTTGAATCAAATTTATTGATTTTCTGTTTATGTGATGAATCACATTTATTGATTTGTGTATACTGAACAAATCTTGCATCCCAGGAATAACCCTACTTGATTGTGGTAGATTAGCTTTTTGATGTTCTGCTAGATTTGGTTTGCTAGTATTCTGTTGAGGATTTTTGCATTTATGTTTATCCAAATATTGGCCTGAATTTTTCTCTTTTGTGTGTGTCTGTGAAGTTTTGGTATTAGAATTATTTGGGTCTCATAGAGTGAGTTAGAGAGAAGTTCCTCTCCTCAATTATTTTGCAATAGTTTCAGTAGGATTGCAACTAGCTCTTCTTTTACATCTGATAGAATTTGGCTGTGAATCTTTCTGCTCCTGGGCTTTTTCTAGTTGGTAGGCTTTTTAGTATTGATTCAATTTGGAACTAAATATTGGTCTGTTCAGGATTTCCATTTCTTCCTGGTTCAATCTTGGGAGGTTGCATATTTCCAGGAATGTATAAATTTCTTGTAGGTTTTCTAATTTGTGTGCATATAGGTATTCATAATTGTCTATGTTTTTTTAAAAATATCTTTGGGGTTGATTTGTAATGTACCCCTTGTTATTTCTGATTTTGTTTATTTGAATTTTCTCTTTATTTTCTCTTTTAGTCTAGCTAGCATTCTATCCATCTTATTTACTCTTTCAACAAACCAATTTCTGGATTCATTGGTCTTTTGTATAATTTTCGGCATCTCAACTTCATTTGGTTCAACTCTGATTTTGGTTATTTCTTGTCTTCTGCTAGCTTTGGTTTTGGTTTGCTCTTGTTTCTCTAGTTCCTGTAGGTGTAATGTTAGGTTGTTAATTCAAGATCTTTCTAATTTTTTATACGGGCATTTCACACTATAAACTTTCTTTTTAACAGCACTTTAGTTGTGTTACAGGGATTCTGGTATGTTATAATTTTGTACTCATTCGTTTCAAAGAATGCCTTGATTTCTGTCTTAATTTCATTATAACCCAAAAGTTGTCAGAAGCAGGTTGTTGAGTTTTCATGTAAATGTGTATTTTGAGCCATCTTCTTAGTATTCATTTCTATTTTCATTGCCCTGTAGTTGGTATAATTTATGTGTTTGTTTATTTAATTGAGTGAGGATTGTTTTGTGGCTGATTGTGTGGTTGATTCTAGAGTATGTGCCAGGTACATATGAGAAGAATGTATATTCTGTTGTTTGGAGGGGGCGACATCTGTAGATGTCTATTAGGTCCATTTGGTCAAGTATCAAGTTCAGGTCCCAAATATATTTGTTAGTTTTCTGCCTGGATGATCTGTCTAACACTGTCAATGGGTTGTTGAAGTCTTCCCCTGTTATGTGGTTATCGAAGTCTCTTCATAGGTCTCTAAGAACTTGCTTTATGAATCTGGATGGTTCTGTGTTGGGTGCATATACATTTAACATGGTTAGGTCTTCTTGATGACCTGAAACCTTTACCATTATGTCTCCTCCTTCTTTGTCTTCTTTGATCTTTGTTGGCTTTGTTGGTCTGTTTTGTCTGATTTTAAGATTGTAACCTCTGCTTTTTTGTTTTGTTTTGTTTTCCATTTGCGTGGTAGATTTTTCTTCCATCCCATTATGCTGAGCCTACGGATGTCCTGGCATGTGAGATGGATCTCTTGAAGATAGCATACAGTTGGCTTTTATCCAACTTGCCACTCTGTTCCTTTTAATTCGGGGCATTTAGCCCATTTGAATTCCACATTAATATTGAGATGTGTGTATTTGATCCTGTCATTGTATTGTTAGCAGCTTATTATGCAGACTTGTTCGTGTGGTTGCTTTATAGTGTCAATGGTCTCTACTTATGTGTGTGTGGTTTCTGTGTTTGTTTTTGTGGCAGTAATCATCTTTCTTTTCCATATTCTTCCATATTTAGCACTCCCTTCAGGACCTCTTGCGAGGCAGGAGGTGACAAATTCCATTTAGCCCAGACAGTAATTTTTTAAAAATTTTGGGTGATGTATCTTGCAGTTCAACAATATCCATTTCATTCTTTTTCAATGTTTTATTTCTTTATTGTGATGCTTTATTTCTTTGTTGAGTCTTCTTATTTATTTCAGCTGTATTTAAACTTACTTGCTTTGTCATTTTTATATCTCTACTAAAATCCTTGTCAGAGAAATTGAACACCTATATTTTCACCATCAACCTCTTGTTAGTCATGATTTTCAGGTTGTCATTTTCTCATTTATTTGTATAAGAAGCTATTTTCAATTGTATTCTGGGCATTTCTATTATTGTGCTTTTAAATTTGGATCTTATTTAAACCTTCTATTTTACTCAATCTTCTCTGACACCTTACTGGTGGAAGAAGAGAGCTGTCACATGGTTACAGCCTGGCAGCAATGCAAGCCCAGGTTTTCCACATGGTCTCACTTGACACCTTGTGGCAGAGAGGTACCTCACTACTGCTCCCCAGATGGTCTTCACTCACACTTCTAGAGGTAGCCTTTGTACCAACCAGGAGGTAATGATGCATGTATATTAATAATGGACACTGATATGTATTATTTAGTGTAATTTCTCACATCATGATATCAATGTTTTGTTGACAACATGAGTTGGGATAGGTTCCTTCCTATTCTATGTTATTAAATGATTGTGTAATATTAGTAGTATTATTTTTTCCCTCATATAATTGATTGAGTATACTACTGAAACCATATGGGCTGAGATTTTTTGTTACTAAATAATTTGATAAATTACATGCTTATTATTTTTTGTTTGTTTTTTAAGGCTTTTCATTGTAATTTTTTCTTTTACCCTTCTTTTTATCTAGAAGCTTTTAGCCTAATTGAAAAAATAAAAACCTCAAATATAATGTAAAACATAAACAAATCTGGAAAAGTAGCAGAAGACAGAGTACGTTCAAAACAAAATACATTGTATTTATTTCTACAATTATATTTAAAAATTTTAAAATAAACATTTTGATTAAACCAAATAAATTTTTTTTTTTTTGAGATGGAGTTTCACTCTGTGGCCCAGGCTGGAGTGCAGTGGCATGATCTCGGCTCACTGCAACCTCCGCCTCCCTGGCTCAAGTGATTCTCCTGCCTCAGCCTCCCAGATAGCTGAGATTACACCTGGGTAGCTGGGGTGCATGCCACCAGACCTGGCTAATTTTTTTTTTTTTTGTATTTTTAGTAGAGATGGGGTTTCACCATGTTGGCCAGGCTGGTCTTGAACTCCTGACCTCAGGTGATCCACCCACCTCAGCCTCCGGAAGTGCTGGGATTACAGGCATGAGCCACCATGCCCGGCTAACAAAAAATTTTTAAATAAACATTTTGATTAAACCAAATAACAAAATGCATAAAAATAAATATATGAAAATCTATGCAAGATGTTTATGTTTGATTCCATAAAAATTTGCTTAGATATACTATAGAAAAATTAATATGTAGATAACATGTTTTGCCTAAATAATGATACACTTGAAAAACCACTAATCTCTCTCAATTGATCTATGGACTAATATAAATAATAAATCTATAAAGCACTAAAAAATAAGACGCTACCCTTTAATTCTTGAAGCGTATTTTTTTTGTAGAGAAAATACATAAGAAAAGCCCACTAATTCTATGAAAAAAATTATACATTGGACTTTACAAAAATAAAAATCTCTGCTGTGCAAAACATACCATTAAAATAATAAACAGGCTAGCCAAAAGGGAGGAAAAAATATTTATAGTACAGATGTTTGACAAAATATTTTTGCCCAGAATAAATAAAAAAATTTAAACTGAATGAAATAAATAAAAACAAAAATATTTTGGCAAAATATATAAAGATACTCTTCTTAAAATAACATATATCAATGACAGGTAAGCATCTAAGAAGGTGCTGAACTTCATTATTCTCCAGGTAATGCAATATTTTAAAATGACATAGAGATACCACAACTAGAAGGATTAAAATTAAAAATATTCAAATGCCAAATGCTAGTGATGATGGAGAGTAATACGACCTCTCCATCATCACTCACACTAGTTGGGGGAGGTAAAATGTTTTAAAAAAAGAAGAAGTCAAATTATCTTTCTTCTTTGATGATATGGTTCTATACCTAGAAAACCCCAAAGACACAGCCAAAAGGCTCCTAGAACTGATAACTTCAGCAAAGTTTCAGAATACAAAATAAACAGACAAAAATCAATAGCATTTCTATACACCAATAACATTCAAGCTGAGAGCAGGAACAGAAAAGTAAATAGTGAATGTTCTCACTTATAAGTGCAAGCCAAACACTGAGTACAGAAGGACACAAGCATGGGAACAAAAAACACTGAAGACTACCAAAGAGGTTAAGGAGGGGGAAACGTGGGGTGAAAAATTACCTATTGGGTGCTATGCTCACTATCTGGATGACAGAATTTGTACCCCAAAGTTCAGTAACATGTAATATAACATTTAACAAAACTGCACCTGTACCCCCCTGAATCTAAAATAAAACTTGAAGTTATAAATAAGAATAAAAATTTTAGAAGATATAGAAGAAAAATCTTTATGACTTGGGGTTAGGCAAATAATTCTTGGGCATGACAGCAATGACATGACCCATTAAGAAAAACTGTCTAAGTAGGACTTCATGAAAATTAAAAGCTTTTGTACTGTTAAAGGGAGATTAGGAGAAAATATTTACAAATCACATCTCTGTCAAAAGACTTATTTAGAAAATATACAGATAACTCTATACATTTAACAGTAAATAAAAACTAAATCCAATCAGACTAGGAGTCAAAGGGTTAAACAGACAACTCATGAATGAAATATATGTATGTCAATATATGCAAATCATAAATGTGACAAAGGGCTATTCTCTAGAATGTTTAAAGAACACTAAAAGTCAACAGTGAAAATAAATGATAAAAACATTAAGAGACATTTCATCAAATAGGATTAACAGCTAAATAAGCAAAACAAACAAAAACACTAAAATGGTTTCCAAAATATTTTTATAATGAAAATTAAATCTGTGATAAAATAAACTACATACCTATCAGAATAAAAATATTGACAATACCAAGTGCTAAAGAAGATGCAATGCAACTGGGTATTTCAAAAATTGCTGGTGGGAATAAAAAATGGTACAACTGGCTGGGCACAGTGCCTCACTCCTGTAATCCCAGCATTTTGGGAGGCCAAGGTGGGTGGATCATGAGGTCAGGAGACAGAAACCATCCTGGGCAACATGATGAAACCCCGTCTCTACTAAAAATACAAAAATTAAATACACATTTATTATACAACACAAGGATGGCAATGATTCATTTTACAACCCCATGTTCCTGCATAGTTATCCTAGAGAAATAAAAACTTACAGTCGTTCAAAAACCTGACATGAATGTCCATAGCAGCTTCATTTGTAATAGCAAAACCTATAAACAACACAAATGTCCTTCAATACAAGTGCATAAACAAACTTTGGTACAATTAGACACTAGAATGCTATTCAGGAATTAAAAAGAAGAAATTATTGACACATACAATGACCTGGATAGAACTCAAGGGCATTGTACTTTGTAAAAAAAGAAAAGCCAATCTCAAAAGTTCACATATTGTATGTTTTATATCTCTATCTTTATCTGTGCAATGAAATTATAGTGATGTAGAACCGATCTTTGGTCTCCAGGGGTTAGGAGGTTTGGGGAGAGGATGTGACTGACTATTGAGAAATAACAAGAGGAAGTTTCTTTGCGGTAATAAAACAGTTCTGTATCCTGATTGGGGTGACGGTTACATAAATCTACACGTGTGAAAAATTTCGTCGAATTCTACAAACAACCACACACACACAAAATACATGTAACAACTGGTGAAATTTGAATGAGTTAATAGTACTCTATCAAAGTGAATTTCCTGGGTATGATAATGTACTATGGTTATATAAGATAGTATCGTTGGGACAAGCTGGGTGAAGGATACACAGGAATTTTCTGTACTTTTTTTAATGTCCCATAACTCAAATACAAATAACGGCAACAAAAAAATTCAATGCAAAAATTGTAATAATAAAGCAAAAAAGTAATCTTTAAGTTATAATTTTTCCCTAAATTGAGCTGAATACTTACTGAATCTCAGTTTTAAAATTACAGAAGTTTTGTTTGTGAAATTAAAAGCAGAGTCTAAAATTTCTACAGGAATGCAAAGAATCAAAAACAGGAAAACTTGAAAACAAAAATAAAGAAAAAAAAACAAGATAGGATGATTATTCTACCTAATATCAAAACGTTTTATAAGGCTACAGAAATTAATATACTGTGGTATCTGTTCAGTAATAGAAATATAGACAAAGGGTAAAAATGGCAGACCAGTTAATGGGTGCAGCACACCAACATGGCACATGTATACATATGTAACAAACCTGCACATTGCGCACATGTACCCTAAAACTTAAAGTATAATTAAAAAAATGGCCAGTCTATTAATTGCCCCACATCGATACATAATTAATAATAATACCTAATCTGCCACTGAGGCCTTTTCAATAAATGATGCTGGGTCAGTATGTAATGATCCAACAACATATATGCACGAACTAATTGGAAAAGAATTACAACGTTAGCATAGTAGACTATCTTTATGTCTTGGGTTAGACCAAGATTTCTTAAAGAACACCAAAAGAAAAACCATGAAATAAAAGATTGATGAATTTATCTTCATACAACTAAAACTTTCTGCTCATAAAACATCTCCATTATGAAAGAGATGCAAGCCACACATTGGAAGATATTGGGCAAAATATTGATATCCAACATGCATAAAAAATTCTTAACAAATCAGCAAGAAGAGTCAGCTCTCCCTCCCCACCAGTATGTTAGAATAATGATTTCCTTTGTGAAGGTATTGACTTGGAAGAGACAAAAGGAAGACATAAAGGGTACTAGATGATCTTTGTTGTAGTTACACAGATACATACGATTTTTTACATATGTAAAAAAATTATCAGTTGTACAATTAAGATTTGCATTAACTGTATTAAATAAATCTGTATTAATGTAAATCAATTGCACATTGAAGATGAATGAATTCTTTTTTATTGTATTAGGTATTTATTTTAATTTATTAAAATTATACTTTAAGTTCTGGGTTACATGTGCAGAACGTGCGGGTTTGTTACATAGGTACACACGTGCCATGGTGGTTTGCTGCACCCATCAACCCGTCATCTACATTAGGTATTTCTCCTAATGCTGTACCTCCTGTAGCCCCCCACCCCCCAAAAGGTCCCAATGTGTGATGTTTCCCTCCCTGTGTCCATGTATTCTCATTGTTCATGAACAGAGGCCTCATAAACAGAAAAGAGGCCTCAGAATTAATGCCATACAACCATCTGTTCTTTGACAACCCTGACAAAAACAAGCAATGGGGAAAGGATTCCCTATTTAATTCCACTTATGAATGAGAACATGCGGTGTTTGGTTTTCTGTTCCTGTGTTAGTTTCCTGGGAATGATGGTCTCCAGTTTCATCCATGTCCCTGCAAAGGACATAAACTCATCCTTTCCAATGGCTGTATAGTATTTGTGGTGTATATGTGCCACAGCTACTTTAGCCAGTCTATCATTGATGGGCTTTTGGGTTGGATTCACATATTTACTATTGGGAATAACTGCAATAAACATATGTGTGCATGTGTCTTTTTAGTGGAATGATTTAAAATCCTTTGGGTATATACCCAGAAATGGGATTTCTGGGTCAAATGGCATTTCTAGTTCTAGATCCTTGAGGAATCACCACACTGTCTTCCACAATGGTTGAACTAATTTACACTCCCAAAACAACATGGTAAAAGCGTTGCTATTTCTCCGCATACGTGCCAGCGTCTGTTGTTTCCTGACTTTTTTTACTTTATTTTATTATACTTTAAGTTTTAGGGTACATGTGCACAATGTGCAGGTTTGTTACATATGTATACATGTGCCATGTTGGTGACTTTTTAATAATTGCCATTCTAACTGATGTGACATGGTATCTCACTGTGGTTTCGATTTGCATTTCTATAAGGACCAGTGATGATGAGCTTTTTTTCATATATTTCTTGGCCACATAAATGTCTTCGTTTGAGAAATGTCTGTTCATATACTTTGCCCACTTTTTGATGGGGTTGTTTTTTTTTTCTTATAAATATGTTTAAGTTCCTTGTAGATTCTTGATATTAGCCATTTGTCAGATGGATAGATTGCAAAAATTTTCTCCCATTCTCTAAGTTGCCTGTTTACTCTGATGAATCCAAAGGAAGAGAGGAAGTCAAACTGCCTCTGTTTGCAGATTACATGATTGCATATTTAGAACACCCCATCATCTCAGCTCAAAATCTCCTTAAGCTGATAAGCAACTTCAGCAAAGTCTCAGGATACAATATCAATGTGTAAAAATCACAAGCTTTCCCATACACCAATAATAGACAGAGAGCCAAATCATGAGTGAATTCCCATTCAGAATTGCTACAAAGGGAATAAAACACCTAGGAATACAACTTATAAAGGATATGAAGGACCTCTTCAAGGAGAACTACAAACCACTGCTCAAGGAAATAAGAGAGGACACAAACAAATGAAAAAATATTCCATGCTCATGGATAGGAAGAATCAATACCATGAAAAAAACCATAGTGCCCAAAGTAATTAATACATTCAGTGCTATCCCCATCAAGCTACCATAGACTTTCTTCACAGAATTAGAAAAAAATACTTTAAATTTCATATGGAATCAATAAAGAGCCCATTTAGCCAAGACAATCCTAAGCAAAAAGAACAAAGCTGGTGGCATCATGCTACCTTACTTCAAACTTTACTACAAGGCTACAGTAACCAAAACAGCATGGTACTGGTACCAAAACAGATATATAGACCAATAAACAGAACAGAGGCCTCAGAATTCATGCCATACAACCATCTCTTCTTTGACAAACCTGACAAAAACAAGCAATGGGGAAAGGATTCCCTATTTAATAAATGATGTTGGGAAAACTGGCTAGCCATATGGAGAAAACTGAAACTGGACCCCTTCCTTCAACTTTATACAAAAAATCACTCAAGATGAAGACTTAAACATAAAACATAAAACCATAAAAACCCTAGAAGAAAACCTAGGCAGTACCATTCAGGACATAGGCATGGGCAAAGACTTCATGACTAAAACACCAAAGCAATGGCAACAAAAGCCAAAATTGACAAATGGGATATAATTAAACTAAATAGCTTCTGCACAGCAGAAGATGAATAAATTCTAGTCGGAGCCACAACATTATGTTTCTTAATGACTTAAAAATTACACATTAAAGAGAATATATAGGCAGTGTAAAGGAAAGAGCCAGAATGATTGAAGATAGCAGGTAATATCCAAGATTAGTTCAAAGCCTCATCTTGATTCTGTGTTACTGGGTGCTAGAGCTTCATATGTTCGAAGTAACTCCTCATTCAAAATTTTGTTTCTACCATTCATGCTCTTGTATACTCTGTCTCTATCAGGTACTCCTTCTTTAACTTTAGAGATTCATAAGAACCATATCTTCTCATTTTCAAACACACAATGGGAAATAACTAAAAGCTTCCAGAGACAATGTATCTTCAATATAAGTGTCTGAAAGTTAACCTGTCATTTTGAAGATTTTGAAGATTTTCTATGCAAACCTTTATTAAGAAAATAAGAGTAGAAACATCTGCAAGTTACAAAAGCAATAAGAAATGAACATATAATTTCTAAAAGTATTTAAAATTTTTATTTCATATTTATTTTCATTGTGATCAGATAACTAGTCTGAAATACCACTTCTTTGAAACATGTCTATTTTTATACATATTTTGTGTTTTTATTAATGTCTTACGTTTGCTTGGAGATAATGTTCATTCCGTGGTTTTGTTGTTGTTGTTGTTTTAGTTTTCTCCTGAACATTAGGCTTAATTTTCTGGTTAGAATATTTTATCCTTACAAAATTTTAAAGGCTTAGTTTACCATTTGTAACTCAACGTGTTCTAAAATAATTTCTCTGATGGTGCATGAACCTGGTATGAGTAATGAAATTTCCACGACTACATGTACTTGTGTAATTTTCACCCATTCTAAGAGAAGATTTTTTAGATGGTATAATGACAGAATTTGTGCAGTTCTGTTCCTTTCTCACTCTAACACTGGGTAAGGAGATTAATTAACAAGAGTAGGAAACTCTTAGTCTTAAACAGATGACACTCTCTCCTGTCATCCTCAAGTCTTCCAAGGAGACAAGAGTTTACTGAATAGCCTTCTCTTAAGACATGGGCTCAGGATCTGCATGCAGTGGTTAAGGTACTATCTTAACTATATTACTGCTTTGGAACCTGAAGATCTAGATGAAGCAGGAAACTCCTTTCACTTGTTCTAGAACAGTTACCTTTTGAAATTCAGGTTGGTCTGAAATGGCGGGTTAACTTTCAGACACTTATATTGAAGATACATTGTCCCTGGAAGCTCTTAGTTATTTCCTCCTTCGTGTTAAAAACTTATATTATTTCTTAAGTGTGTTTTACATATGGGAAATATAGCCTTTATCATAAAACTCTCTAAGACAATTTGATATCCAGTCTCTGATTACAATTTGGCTTTGATAACCACTGCTTTCCTCCATCACTATCTATCTTGTGTCTTTAATAATAGTATAGTCTTCTTTTATTCTTCTGCAAACTCCAAATCTTTAAAATGTGTCCCAAATTTTTCATCAGAAATATCTCTACTTACCTATGCCTTGGGAGAAGTAAGGTAACCCAATAATGTATAAGGTTGTTGAGTCTTACTCAGCTTTGATAACTCATTGTTAGTAACTGTCAAGATTCAGCATGATCATGCAATTCAGAGTTCATATCGATGGAGGTATGTCAATAAGTCAAGGTAACCTTAAAGCACGTGTAGAAAAGAGAACTTATTTGTAGTTTAAAACAATTTTCCAATGCAATTACAATGACGCTCTTGGAAAAGATAAATATTACTTATATAAAAAATTACATGAATTTAAAAAAGTTTGCCTTAAAACACCAAATAAAAAGAGACTGGAAAAAATAAAAAAAGATTGTGACAATATAGCAGTTACATTTGAGTTGTGTACTTCCCCTTTTGTCATGCATCTATATTTTAAAATATAACTTAAAAATAATGTTATTTGTCTTTGGTGGAGTCCTCATATTTAGTTTTTAATTGTAGAGCATACACATGGGAAATAACACTCAAAATACATTATTGAACAGAAATAAACTCTTCCAGGTTAGGGTACAAGCTTTGGAGTCACTTTTTAATATTTCTGTTCTATGTGAAATTAGGAACCATATTTAACTTTCCATGTGTTAATTTCTTTTTTCAGATAGTAGGAAATTGAGTAACACTCAACAACCTTATACATTATTGGGTTACCTTACTTCTCCCAAGGCATAGGTAAGTAGAGATATTTTTGATGAAAAATTTGGGACACCTTTTAAAGATTTGGAGTTTGCAAAAGAAAAAAAGAAAACTTATATCATGGGGTTGTTGTAGGATACAAAGTAATCTATAGGTATTACTTCACTTGAAGAAAAGTACATAAATGCTCAAAAATGGTATCTGTCAATACAATTGGCTCACTTCATTCTTAAAAATATCTTATTATATCAATACACAAACTTAATTTTCTCTTCATGAATTACTAAAGGGAGAGAATTACATAGTGTTAAAATGTTAATAAATTCAGGAACTTAGACTCATCTGACACTAGATCATCTTGACCTGTGGGCCTCATTTTGCTGGTGTTTTAGGTTTACACACGTCCCCAGCCACCGTTTCAGGGCTTCCTTGACCTCACTGTTCCTCACACTGTAGATGAGGGGATTTAGTAAAGGGGTGAACATAGTATAGAAGGCTGACACAACCTTATCGTGGTTAGTGGACCTGTGGGATTTGGGTCTCATATAGGTAAAAATGCCAGCTCCATAAAAGAGTCCCACCACAGCCACATGTGAAGAGCAGGTGGCAAAGGCCTTCTTGCGGGCTTCTGTAGAGCGCATGAGCAGAACAGCAGCGAGGATGAGACCATAGGAGGACAGGATGAGGGAAAAGGGGACCAGGAGCATTAACACACAGCAGATGTACATGGCGTTTTCGAAGACTGAAGTGTCAGCACAAGCCAAACGCACCAACACGGGGGCCTCGCAGAAGAAGTGATCGATCTCGTGTGCACCGCAATATGGGAAGCTCAGGGTAGCAACAGCCTGCAGGAGGCCGTCAGCTGCACCCAGGAGCCAGGACGACATGGTCATCCTCAGGCACAGCTGCCAGCTCATGAGAGTGGGATATCGGAGTGGGTGGCAGACAGCCGCATAGCGGTCATAGGCCATGGCTGCTAAGAGGAAGCACTCTCCACCACCCAGTGTGGGGAGGAAGAAGATCTGCACACCACAGCCAGCGCGGGAGATGGCCTTATTTCCGGTCAAGTAGTCAGCCGCCATTTTGGGCACAGTGGTGGAAACCAGCATCATGTCCATGAGGGAAAGTTGGCTCAGGAGGAAGTACATGGGCCTGTGGAGCCGGTGGTCCCAGTGAATCAGGAGAATCATGAGGGCATTGCTAAACAGGGAGGTCAAAACGGTGGCCAGAAGCATCATGAAGAGGACTTGGTGGGCTCTGGTGTGGTTAAAGAGTCCTAGGAGAATAAAATCTGGGGTAGTATTTCTCATCTCCATAATTTCCCCTGGTGTGATGGTGCAAATGGAAAAATAGAGAAAGAAGAGGCTTTTATGGTCTGAATAACTGTTTGACTGCACAGTTTCTGGACATATGTACTGGATATGTTATCCCAGGTCGTGATTCAAAGCCCTGACTCCCAGTAGGCACAGCTTTTCCTGACCTGGCATTCACTTCTCTATAGCTCAACTTTTTAATGTTCTAACTGAGATCATGTACTACAAACAGGAGTATATTTACAGATCAAAATGAATAAAAATTTTTTTTTTAGTTTTGTTATTTTTTTAATTATACTTTAAGTTTTAGGGTACATGTGCACAATGTGCAGGTTAGTTACATATGTATACATGTGACATGCTGGTGCGCTGCACCCACTAACTCCTCATCTAGCATTAGGTGTATCTCCCAGTGCTATCCCTCCCCCCTCCCCCAACCCCACAACAGTCCCGAGAGTGTGATGTTCCCCTTCCTGTGTCCATGTGTTCTCATTGTTCAGTTCCCACCTATGAGTGAGAATACCCGGTGTTTGGTTTTTTGTCCTTGCAATAGTTTACTGAGAATGATGATTTCCAATTTCATCCATGTCTCTACAAAGGACATGAACTCATCCTTTTTTATGGCTGCATAGTATTCCATGGTGTATATGTGCCACATTTTCTTAATCCAGTCTATCATTGTTGGACATTTGGGTTGGTTCCAAGTCTTTGCTATTGTGAATAGTGCCGCAATAAACATATGTGTGCATGTTTCTTTATAGCACCATGATTTATAGACCTTTGGGTATATACCCAGTAATGGGATGGCTGGGTCAAATGGTATTTCTAGTTCTAGATCCCTGAGGAATTGCCACACTAACTTCCACAATGGTTGAACGAGTTTACAGCCCCACCAACAGTGTAAAAGTGTTCCTATTTCTCCACATCCTCTCCAGCACCTGTTGTTTCCTGACTTTTTAATGATTGCCATTCTAACTGGTGTGAGATGATATCTCATTGTGGTTTTGATTTGCATTTCTCTGATGGCCAGTGATGGTGAGCATTTTTTCATGTGTTTTTTGGCTGCATAAATGTCTTCTTTTGAGAAGTGTCTGTTCATGTCCTTCGCCCACTTTTTGATGGGGTTGTTTGTTTTTTCTCGTAAATTTGTTTGAGTTCATTGTAGATTCTGGATATTAGCCCTTTGTCAGATGAGCAGGTTGCGAAAATTTTCTCCCATTTTGTGGGTTGCCTGTCACTCTGATGGTAGTTTCTTTTGCTGTGCAGAAGCTCTTTAGTTTACTTAGATCCCATTTGTCAATTTTGTCTTTTGTTGCCATTGCTTTTGGTGTTTTAGACATGAAGTCCTTGCCCGTGCCTATGTCCTCAATGGTAACGCCTAGGTTTTCTTCTAGGGTTTTTATGGTTTTAGGTCTAACGTTTAAGTCTTTAATCCATCTTGAATTGATTTTTGTATAAGGTGTAAGGAAGGGATCCAGCTTCAGCTTTCTACATATGGCTAGCCAGTTTTCCCAGCACCATTTATTAAATAGGGAATCCTCTCCCCATTGCTTGTTTTTCTCAGGTTGGTCAAAGATCAGATAGTTGTAGATATGCAGCGTTATTTCTGAGGGCTCTGTTCTGTTCCATTGATCTATATCTCTGTTTTGGTACCAGTACCTTGCTGTTTTGGTTACTGTAGCCTTGTAGTATAGTTTGAAGTCAGGTAGCGTGATGCCTCCAGCTTTGTTCTTTTCGCTTAGGATTGACTTGGTGATGTGGGCTCTTTTTTGGTTCCATATGAACTTTAAAGTAGTTTTTTCCAATTCTGTGAAGAAAGTCATTGGTACCTTGATGGGGATGGCATTGAATCTATAAATTACCTTGGGCAGTATGGCCATTTTCACGATATTGATTCTTCCTACCCATGAGCATGGAATGTTCTTCCATTTGTTTGTAACCTCTTTTATTTCATTGAGCAGTGGTTTGCAGTTCTCCTTAAAGAGGTCCTTCACGTCCCTTGTAACTTGGATTCCTAGGTATTTTATTCTCTTTGAAGCAATTGTGAATGGGAGTTTACTCATGATTTGGCTCTCTGTCTGTTATTGGTGTATAAGAATGCTTGTGATTTTTGTACATTGATTTTGTATCCTGAGACTTTGCTGAAGTTGCTTATCAGCTTAAGGAGATTTTGGGCTGAGACAATGGGGTTTTCTAGATATACAATCATGTCATCCGCAAACAGGGACAATTTGACTTCCTCTTTTCCTAATTGAATACCCTTTATTTCCTTGTCCTGCCTAATTGCCCTGGCCAGAACTTCCAACACTATGTTGAATAGGAGTGGTGAGAGAGGGCATCCCTGTCTTGTGCCAGTTTTCAAAGGGAATGCTTCCAGTTTTTGCCCATTCAGTATGATATTGGCTGTGGGTTTGTCATAGATAGCTCTTATTATTTTGAGATATGTCCCATCAATACCTAATTTATTGAGAGTTTTTAGCGTGAAGCGTTGTTGAAATTTGTCAAAGGCCTTTTCTGCATCTATTGACATAATCATGTGGTTTTTGTCTTTGGCTCTGTTTATATGCTGGATTACATTTATTGATTTGCTTATATTGAACCAGCCTTGCATCCCAGCGATGAAGCCCACTTGATCATGGTGGATAAGCTTTTTGATGAGTTGCTGGATTTGGTTTGCCAGTATTTTATTGAGGATTTTTGCATCAATGTTCATCAAGGGTATTGGTCTAAAATTCTCTTTTTTGGTTGTGTCTCTGCCCGGCTTTGGTATCAGGATGATGCTGGCCTCATAAAATGAGTTAGGGAGGATTCCCTCTTTTTCTGTTGATTGGAATAGTTTCAGAAGGAATGGTACAAGTTCCTCCTTGTACCTCTGGTAGAATTTGCCTGTGAATCCTTCTGGTCCTGGACTCTTTTTGGTGGGTAAGCTATTGATTATTGCCACAATTTCAGCTCCTGTTATTGGTCTATTCAGAGATTCAACTTCTTCCTGGTTTAGTCTTGGGAGGGTGTATGTGTCGAGGAATTTATCCATTTCTTCTAGATTTTCTAGTTTATTTGCGTAGAGGTGTTTGTAGTATTCTCTGATGGTAGTTTGTATTTCTGTGGGATCGGTGGTGATATCCCCTTTATCATTTTTTATTGCGTCTATTTGATTCTTCTCTCTTTTTTTCTTTATTAGTCATGCTAGCGGTCTATCAATTTTGTTGATCCTTTCAAAAAACCAGCTCCTGGATTCATTAATTTTTTGAAGGGTTTTTTGTGCCTCTATTTCCTTCAGTTCTGCTCTGATTTTAGTTATTTCTTGCCTTCTGCTAGCTTTTGAATTTTCAACCCAGAATTTCATATCTAGCCAAACTAAGCTTCATAAGTGAAGGAGAAATAAAATACTTTACAGACAAGCAAATGCTGACAGATTTTGTCACCACCAGGCCTGCCCTAAAAGAGCTCCTGAAGGAAGCACTAAACATGGAAAGGAACAACGGGTACCAGCCACCACAAAATCATGCCAAATTGTAAAGACCATCAAGGCTAGGAGGAAACTGCATCAACTAACGAGCAAAATAACCAGCTAACATCATAATGACAGGATCAAATTCACACATAACAATATTAACTTTAAATGTAAATGGGCTAAATGCTCCAATTAAAAGACACAGACTGGCACATTGGATAAAGAGTCAAGACCCATCAGTGTGCTGTGTTCAGGAAACCCGTCTCACGTGCAGAGACACACATAGGCTCAAAATAAAAGGATGGAGGAAGATCTACCAAGCAAATGGAAAACAAAAAAAGGCAGGGGTTGCAATCCTAGTCTCTGATAAAACAGACTTTAAACCAACAAAGATCAAAAGAGACAAAGAAGGCCATCACATAATGGTAAAGGGATGAATTCAACAAGAAGAGCTAACTATCCTAAATATATATGCACCCAATACAGGAGCATCCAGATTCATAAAGCAAATCCTGAGTGACCTACAAACAGACTTAGACTCCCACACAATAATAATGGAAGACTTCAACACCCACTGTCAACATTAGACAGATCAACGAGACAGAAATTTAACAAGGATACCCAGGAATTGAACTCAGCTCTGCACCAAGCGGACCTAATAGACATCTACAGAACTCTCCACCCCAAATCAACAGAATATACATTTTTTTCAGCACCACACCACACCTATTCCAAAATTGACCACATAGTTGGAAGTAAAGCTCTCCTCCGCAAATCTAAAAGAACAGAAATTATAACAAACTGTCTCTCAGACCACGGTGCAATCAAACTAGAACGCAGGATTAAGAAACTCACTCAAAACCGCCCAACTACATGGAAACTGAACAACCTGCTCCTGAATGACTACTGGGTACATAACGAAATGAAGGCAGAAATAAAGATGTTCTTTGAAACCAACAAGAACAAAGACACAATATACCAGGATCTCTGGGACACATTCAAAGCAGTATGTAGAGGGAAATTAATAGCATGTGCACATTGTGCACATGTACCCTAAAACTTAAAGTATAATAATAATAAAATTAAAAAAATAGAAAAACGATGTCTAATATGTGATCGAGTTTTTCCAAAAAGAATATGTCTCCAAAGCAAACAGATAGTTCCTATAACATCAGAAGTCTTTTACAGATAAATTGATAGAGAAATTCAGCTTCAGTCAGCATGTGACCAGCACAATACTAGAAATGGAGATTAAATTTGTGTCTTCGATCACATGATAGTAGGCAAATCATTTTTGTCAATCATCATGAAGAGAGAAACAGGTCTCAACCTCCTCCCTTTCTGGTTTTAAAACAAATCAAGAACTTGGATAAACCTGATTATTGGTATCTGAGATCTAGGTTCAGTCAATGTCTTGAGAATGAGAAATGGGCATTTCTGGGATCTTTAGTGTTGTGGGTTTCCCACCTCAGGGTGCCATTGTGTTAACCTCAAGAAGAGGTGGGCTTTTAAGGAAAATTGGGAAAATACATTGTATTGCCTCAATAATTTCCAGTGCTTATGAGCGGAATTCACTTCAAGAAAATAACTCATCTCAACTTACTTTATGGAACCACCTATTTTGACCATCATACCATAGCTGTCCCAGTTATCTGGATCTTGTCAACTGTTGTAATACACAATTTATCCAAATAAAACGGTATTACCTCAGATTTCCACCATAATTTGTCTTTAAGTGAGTCTTGCTATGAGCTTCCTTGCAAGAAGGAAGCTATGTGGTCAAGTTCGCTTCTCCCTATGCTTCTTTTTCAGTTGGCAAAGTGTTCTTTACATTTGGGAAACACTACTTCCAAGTCACTAAGTTGAGATAAAATGGTGATTAATTCTACTTGATCACTTAGACATTTCTACCATATGTTTTACATTCCATTGAATGATGCAGCATTAAAACAAAATTGATTACAAATGTAAATCTACATATCCCTCTGAATTGTCTCCATCACATTAGTTTAGGCTGAATTTATATAAATGCACTCTTATTTGTGTTGTATTTTTTCACCTCCCTTCATTGCCTCAAAATTCCCTTCATACCCACATGCTAAAATTGACTTCATTGATTTCATCCTGTCACAGAGAATGTGGCAAGATATATCACAAATTTATAACAGTTTATAAGTGATAAAATTGAAAATACTGAGCACTAGATTGCCCTATGCCTTCTATATTAAGATCCATGTGAACATTTATTCAATAAAATTCTATAAAGAAAAATAATGTTGTTTCTAACGAGAAATTTGACATTCCTTCTAAGTAAGTAAGATACATATGAGAAATTGTGCTTACCTTTAGGCACCAGGAATATGAGACCCAATCCTGAAGCTCAGTGTAAGTTATCCAGGATATAAACAATCTGAAAATGCAGTGAAGATAACATTGGGATTCCAAGAGGTATTTGTATATATTCCTATAAAAATGGATCTGTGGTGAAATATCATTGCAACTCCAAGTTATCCAGGACTCTTCACTGCCAAAAAAAGCAGAACATTTTGAGTTTCAATACTGTACTAAAGGTATTCATGTAATGAGGTAAAATATTTTGAACTCTGCATTAGACGTTGCCTACCAAGTATTTTTCCCTTAGTTGAAATTTTATGCTTCTAATTTTATTTATTTTATCTAATCTACATTGTTTCTGTTGTAATAAATTCCGTCATTTTGTAAAAAGATGGTGCATACGTTCAGTTTTTTTAAATGTCTTTTTTATGTATTAACCTCATCATGTCTGCAAGAGGAGTCATCAGATTTCATTACACTGTGATACTGTGCACATGCGCAGAGCAATATATTGTAACACAAAATTCTTGAAAATCATGGTCAGATTTTATGACACTGTGATACTGTGCACAGGCCAGAGCAATAGTAACACAGAAACCATGAAAATCTGGATGAGAAATTGAGAAGGCACTGAGTGAGATGATGGAAAGGAGACATTGAGAGGCCAGAACTTGATAAAAAAAAAAAAAAGAAGTGAAGCCTTATGTGAAATAATGTCAGACAGCATGTGTAATCCACTGTGTAGTCCACCGAGGTTGCTAAAATGACGTTACCCTTTTGCAGTAGGAATGATCAGGAAACAAAACAAAACAAAGCAACAAATCTCTCATATTGGCAATAATGATCATAGCAATTTTATTTGTAATAATAAAATGCAACCTGCATATGCACTAAAAATGGAATTTATAAGCATAACTACAAGAAGTAGCATTGATGAGTTTCACAAATAGAATGTTGAATGAACAAAGTAGATCACAGGGAATGACTTCATGAATCCTATTATGAGTAATTTAAACATATATACATAAATCTATTATAAAGCACAGCAACACTGCAATAATGATTATCTACAAAATTGGCTGAAAGTTTACATGATCAGAGAGAGTTAAGCTGTGTTTCGAAAGCACTGGTAATATTTTAAAGCATTTTACAAAATGTATATCCAACATATTTGTTGTAAATAAACATTTTTGTATATTCCAAGTTTAAAAACATATTTAAATAATAGGTGTAAATGTCTTGGAGGAGCACATGACAAATGGAAACATTCATTAATACAGGTTGAGGATTCTTTATCCAAAATGCTTGGGACCAGATGTGTTGCAGATTGCAGATTTTTTAACACTTTGAAATATTTGCATATGTATAAGGAGATGTCCTGAGAATGGAACCCAAAGGAGAGACAAAATTAACTTATATTCTATGTATACCTTATACACATAGCCTGAATGTAATTTTATGCCATATTTTAAAATAATTTTGTGTAAGGGAGAAAGTCTGTGTACACTGAACCATCAGAAAGCAAGAGTGACACAGTCTCATGTCAGTACTCTAAATGGTTCTGATTTTGGATATTCGATTTTTGGTTTAGGGATTCTCATCCTGCATGAGCTACAATTATTTAAAGAAAAGAGAATGTGGCCAAAACTTTCAAATCATGTCCTGTTCTCATCTGCTACGTTTCTCCTCTGACTCCCATTCACTATCAATATCTTTTTCAACTCTAGAATGCCAGGACATATCAAAACAAAAATTATAGATTTTATCCCATCTTTCACATTGATAAGCTGAGGCAGGTAACCACTCCTTCTGCTTCAGGTTGTACCACATTTCTCAAAGTCATATTGTACAGATAAAATAGAATAAAATTCATAAAATTCTCAGACCAAAAATGATTAAGAAATGAAATTAATCATCACCACGTTCAGCAGAAATTTCGGCACTAGCTTATACACAGTCTTGCTTGTGCTTGGTTAACTTACCTCTTAGTACTGATCTGAATAGTGTATATTTTCAATGAGATTGTAGTTTCCTAAAAAGGCAAAAACATATAAATATCTTACATGTTTTTATGTTTCCATCACCAGGAAAAAAGCACCTAATATACAGTTGGAATCTTTATGGTTATTGACAAATGAATGAAAAGACAAAAACTTAAATTTTTAGCCCTTGTGGAATCCATTCCCTTGTCTTTAATTATGAAAGTTTGTATTACCTTCTATCTCCTCTCCTAGGACATGAAGCCGAATTAGCTTCCTTTTCTTGAAAATACTACAAAGATAATTATGTCCCTTTCCCTGTAGGTTAGTGTGAACTTTCTGAAACTTCTCCCTCTCTCTCACATGATGAGGTGAGACACATCAAGTGCTTTCTGTATAACTGGCACTGCAGTTAAAAAGTGTTTGTAAGCTCACATATTACCCACAACCATTGTGTATGTCAGATACCTCTATTAGACACATGTATATATTATTATATATTATCTTTAATTATATCCTCATTTTTTTGCATTATGAAACTAAGGGCAGAAGTTTATGTAATTTGAAGTGTCAGAGCTAGAGAATGGCAGTCAGGGCGTTCAGAGCTAATATCATTCCTCTTCTATGGCTTCTCTTCACTGTTCCTTCTGCTCCATTGTCAAAGCAAGATATGCTTGGGTAGAATTGGCACTTTTAACATCTTGAGGTTCCCTACGTAATTCTAATTCTATTTGTATGTTCCTTTATATGTTTTCTATCCCTTAAAACTAGTGTATATATTTTCCGTAAAAATTGTTATTATAAAATAGAAATGTTCATGGGTATATTTTGTTGCTTGAGTGTATGGAATATTGTGTGTATTATTTCTTCTATTTCTTTTTGTTAATATATAGAAATCTATTAATTGTTGCTTATAGACCATGAATCCAAGAATGCTATGTTTATTTTTGTATTCCTTATTGCAGAGAAAAATATTATATACAATGGTTGAAACAACTTTAGATCTCTTTCCAATTTTATCTATTTTCCATTCTTCATTGCTTAAAATATATATTATTGAAATGTTGAAGAATAATATTGACTACCTTAAGCCTTTAGCAATTATGGTTCTCCATTAGATATAGTGTTTGTCTGAGGCTTAGGTAGACAGATTAAGCACATTAACAAAATCCCATTTTATCTTTTACCAATGCTTTGTTCAATAAATGTTCAGTGAATTGTTTTGAATGATATCCTGCTTTTACTGATATAATTGTGTTGTTTTCCTTAAATTAATCATAGCCTGAATTACAATGATAGCTAATTTGTATCATTAGAAATATTTCAGTGGAAGATAATGTATAAAACAAATTAAACACCAATGTACCCATCACCAGCTTAAAATAAAATATTACAGGCCATGCACGGATCCTCATGCCTGTAATCTCAGCACTTTGAGAGGCCGAGGTGGGCAGATCACTTGAGGTCAGGAGTTTGATACTAGCCTGGCCAATATGGTGAAACCCTGTCACGACAGAAAATACAAAAATTTGCTGGTGTGGTGGCACAGGCCTGTAATCCCAGCTACTTGAGAGGCTAAGGCAGGAGAATCACTTCAACTTGAGAGGTGGACGTTGCAATGAGTTGAGATCACGCCATGGCATTCCAGCCTGGGTCACTGAGCAAGACACCATCTCAAAAATAAAATATAAAATATAAAAATAAAATAATAAATGAAATATTAGAAATTAGTAGAAGTCTGTGTGCACATAACCTGAATGTATGTTATTTGTTCTTTGCCTCTAGAGATAACAGAAACCTATATTTTTTGTGCTCTCACTTCTTTCTTTCTTTTTGAGGGGGAGTAAATGTTTTATTCTTTCTACTAAATTCCAGTACTACAGAAGAGGTAAAATAATAATATACTGGAAAAATGCAGCAATAAACATGTGTTTAAAAGACTGATAGAATAAATAAAACACTTAAAAAAATCACAAACCCATTCTGAATGC